>NT_167247.2:3349939-3597356 GCF_000001405.40 Homo sapiens | reverse complement strand
GGCCAGGAGGCGGGACCCCTTCTCCCCTCGCTTTTCCCCCTCGCGCCCCTTCTCCCCTCGCGGTTCCCCCTCGCGCCCCTTCTCCTCTCACATTTCCCCCTCACAAGCCTTCTCCCCTCCTGGTTCCCCCTCAAGCGCCTTCTCTCCTCAAATCTCCCTCAGCTTCCTTCTCTCCCTCCCATTTCTCTCCCCATTCTTTTACCTCTCCTAGTCCCGCCTTCCCCAGCACGATGGCACCTCTCTCGCCCTAAATCTTCTCCCCACTCCTCTCAACCCACTGACCGCCCTCGCCTCCCCACCCCCATCCCCTCTTCCCGCACGCACTGTCTACCTTTCTGCCCCTCCGCACTCCCGGACTCCTCAAGCACATACACCCAGCCTCATCTCACCCAACCCGGCCTATTCACTCCCTGAACCACCCCACCCCATCATCCTCTTCCTCCCCCATCTTCCTCCTCCCCAGTAGCTCTTCCCCCTCTTCCTCCTCACTTCCCCACCCCGTCACACCCCCCTCCCTCTCCCTGCCCTCGGTCTCTTCACTCCATCTCCTCCCTTTCACTGTGCTGTTTCGCGGTAGGAAGAGAAGAGTGGTGATACCTGAGGAATAAAAGGTATAACTCCCTCCCCAAACACTGCTAAAATGACTCTGAAAATAAATAATCAGGCAGACAAGGGGAACAGGGAACAGCAACAGACTGTAATGCTTTTCTGGAAAACTGGTGAAAAGCGGAGCTGATGAAAGTGGAACCTATTGTGCATCCAAAGAAATGCTACACAGAAGGAAAACCACTGTTTAGACAGAGCCCTAAATCTCTAGAAATGGAAAGCTAAAAACTAAGAAAGTCTAGGGTAAGAGGGTAAACCTGAAAAAGATGGACCTATTGAAAATCTGTATAAGAAGGAGTTAGGGCTGAGATCTTTCCCTTATTCTTGGTCTGCACATCCATGAACCTAACTTTCCCCCAATACCATTTTTGACTTAAAACAAGAATCAGTAAACTTTTTCTATAAAGGGCCAAATGTTTACTTTGGCTTTGTAGGTCCCTATGGGCTCCATCACAACTACTCACCTCTGCCTTTATAGCACAAAAGCAGTCATAGACAATACATAAATGAATGAAGAACATGGCCATGTTCCAATAAAGCTTTACTTATGGAGACTTAAATTTGAATTTCATATAATTTTCACATGTCACAAAATATTATGTGACATTTTACATGAAATGTAAAAATCATTCTTAGCTCATGGGCTATACAAAAAAAAAACAAGTTGCAGACTGGATTTGGCCCATTGGGTGGTAGTTTGCTCATCCCTGGCTTAAAGAAAAAAACAATTAATAAACCAGGAATAAGGCCAGGTGCAGTGGCTCACACCTGCAATCCCAGCACTTTGGGAGGCTGAGGTGGGCTGATCACCGGAGGTCAGGAGTTCAAGATCAGCCTGGCCAACATGGTGAAACCCCCATCTCTACTAAAAATACAAAATTAGCTGGGTATGGTGATGCCTGCCTGTAATCCCAGCTACTTGGGAGGCTGAGGCAGGAGAATCTCTTGAACCCAGCAGGCAGACGTTGCAGTGAGCCGAGATCATGCCATTGCACTCCAGCCTAGGCAACAAGAGCAAAACTCCATCTCAAATAAATAAATAATATAAATAAATAAACAAACCAGGAATAGAAGAGAACTTCTTTAACCTGATAAAGGGTATCTATTTTTTTTTATTCTGAAACACATCTTCCAAAAAGAGAAAGTTGGGATGCATTCTCATTAAAATTATGAAGACAAGGAGACTACTATCATCACTTTTATTCAACATTGTATTTTGGTCATTACCAGCATAATGAGATAAGAAAAAGAAACCAAAAGATTGGAAAGGAAGACATAAAACTGTCAACATTTACAGAGGACATGATTACACCATAGAATCTAAAGACAAATTAATCTAAAGACAAATTACTATAAATAATAGGAAAGTTTAATGAAGTAACTGATATAAACTCAATCCTCTATTTTCACATCTTTGCTTTTCCTATTGCCTATGTTTTTATGTTTTTGTTATACTTGCTGGGATATTTCTTCTCCTTTACCTTCCCAAACCTTTATTAAATACTTATTCTGAGCTCTCATATTTTAAGTTTTCAGGAGCTGTTTACTTGTTAATCCTTCCCTTGTTTAAGTATCTTGTTCTTTCATAGATGTGATACCTGCTTTTATTTCTCATTGATTATAGTTGTGTTTTAAAGTCTCTTCTGAATTGTCTCTGTTCTTCCAAGTTCTTCCTTGTTTTGAACTCTGCCTTTGTTACTGGATACTTTCTTTGCATTTTAATGAGACTAAGAGGTCCCTTCTGAAACCTTACACATCAGCATCTCACTCTCTAACCAAAACCCAATATCTTTGCAGCTCTAGTGCTCTAGAGTTCCCACTGCCTTTCTTCTTTGACCTCACTAGTACCTTCAGGCACTTCCCCCTTTTGTTTCCAGTCAGTCAGCTTCCTTCCCTTACCGACTACATTACCTGAAACTTTCTAGCCTAAACCATGATCAGTCAATTCAGTTGCACCCACAATTCAAACATCCCCTTACTAGATCAAATTAACTCTGCCCTCTCAGTTGTCAGAAGATTAAAAAGTCTGCATGTTGGACTCCCAATTCTTCAGCTCCATGTTCCTCTGAGCCTCCAACATGCTCACTTAAGCATGTCCTTCTATTGACCAAGGCAGCTTTTGCAGACCTTCAGGCATATTCTTAAACCACTTCCTAGTCCTCATTCTCAGCAGAGGATCATACCTTACATTCTTATCTCATATCTCAGTGGAAGTGGCATTCCTGCTTCCATACAGATTTTCCATACAAATTTTCTCCCTTCACCTGTGCTCTAGCCAAGTGATTCTCAAACTTAAGCATGCATCAAAATCACCTGGTACATTCCTAAAGCCCCACTCTCACAGATACTAATTCACTGTATCTGGGATAAAGTCTAACAATTTTGTATTATAACTCAGGTACTAAACCCAGTAAACAAAGTTCTTATTTTTCTTGATGCTGTTGGCCTTAATTCTTTCCCTAGTTCTAGAAGACACTACATGTCTTATGGCCTGCCGCAATTAGGGCCATCCCCCCCACCTCTTGAAAAGACATTATTATTTTGAATATTTCTCACACACACACACACACAGAGAAAATTAAATTACTCACAACTCTATTAATTGCCCCAGAGATCTATCCTCACATCCTTCTCTCATATCTCAGTGGAAGTAGCATTCCTGCTTCCATACAAAGTTTTTCCCTTCACCTGTGCTCTAGCCAAGTGATTTTCAAACTTGAGCATGTATCCAAATCACCTGGTGATTGCTAAAGCCCTACACCCACAGATTCTAATTCACTGTATCTGTGATGAAGTCTAACAATTTTGTATTGCTAACAAGCTTCCAGGTGATGCCAGTGCCACCCATTTGCGGATCATCCTTTGAGTATCCTGCTCTAGATTCCATCATCTCCTGTCTCCCAGAAGTCCATACTTCATCTTCAACCTCTTTCCTATTTCCCATGCCCATACCTTACCCCTCAAACACATATGAATGCAGTCAAGACTCTCCAATCTTCAAAAAAGAAAAAAAAAACTTTCAAAATATCCTATTATTCTCACCTTTTTTTTTTTTTTTTTTTTTTTTGGAGACAGAGTCTTGCTCTGTCACCCAGGCTGGAGTGCAATGGTGCGATCTAAGCTCACCGCAACATCCGCCTCTCAGAATCAAGCAATTCTCCTGCCTCAGCCTACTGAGTAGCTAGAATTATAGGCACGTGCCACCATGCCCAGCTAATTTTTTGTATTTTTAGTAGAGACGGGGATTCACCATGTTGGTCAGGCTGGTCTCAAACTCCTGCCCTCGTTGATCCACCCACCTCAGCCTCCCAAAATGCTGGGATTACAGACGTGAGCCACCACACCCGGCCTGCACCTTTTCTTTATAACCAAGCTTTTCAGAGGAATCATGTCCATACTCTTTACTTCCTCGCCATCGATTGCACTTTTCAATTTGGTTTCTATTCCAACTAAAGCATCAAAACGACTCAGATACTAAACCCAGTAAACAAGGTGCTTATTTTTCTTGATGCTGGTTGGCCTTAATTCTTCCCCTAGTTCTAGAAGACACTACATGTCTTATGGCCTGCCAAAATTAGGGCTATCCCCCCACTTCTTGAAAAGACTTATCATTTTAATCTTTCTAACCACAGCACAGATGATATAGGACTAACAAGATACATTTTTTTCCCCTTTATTTTCCATTAAATGCAATGCAAAGTAAATCTAAATATTAACTACACTGCTCTTCCCTTTTCCTGGAGGTAGGAAGCCTTTTATGATTCAAACTATTCTGTGCCTTGAAGCATCCTGCCTCCCATGTAGTGGTCCTCATTGTCCCTGGGAAGCTCCTCTTCCTTAAGTGATGATGTCCCCAAGGTTCTGACCTCTTTTCACTCTCACTCTCTACCTGGGCCATATCTTTCACCCTATGGCTTAGGCCCAATAATATAACTGCATCCTTGATGTAGCCTTGCAAAACCTTTGACTAATTTAGACCAAATGCATACATTTTGAAGATGTTATTTGATTTTATTAATAATCTTTAAAACCATCTTTATTTACCAAAGATCACTGAAGTCACATGAACTAAAAGGCCTTAAAATTTCTATTTCTCGGCCTGGCACAGTGGCTTACACCTATAATCCAAGCACTTTGGAAGGCCGAGGTGGGCAGATCACGAGGTCAAGAGATCAAGACCATCCTGGCCAACAAGGTGAAACCCTGGCCCTACTAAAAATACAAAAATTAGCTGGGCATGGTGGCGTGTACCTGCAGTCTCAGCTACTCAGGAGGCTGAGACAGGAGAATTGTTTGAACCCGGGAAGTGGAGGTTGCAGTGAGCCGAGATTGCACCACTGCACTCCAGCTTGACAACAGAGCGAGACTCTGTATTAAAATATATATATGTATATATATATATATACATATATATATGTATATATATACATATATATATTTCTCTGATAAAATATTTAAGTGCTTATTTTTCTAAAAGCCATTAATTACAGCTTTTTCATATATTTTGGTAGTGAAAATATCACAAACACATGACATGTATAAACACACAGACATACAAACACACAGAAGCAGATTTTATAGATTTGTAAGATTCTTCATGTGCCAGTTTTTAAAGTTTCTCTTCCTCATTTTGGACCTTCTCTTGATTACCTGTTCCCTGCCCTAAATAATTGTCAGCTATGCCACTCCAAATCTGCATTTCTAAAGGCACAATTCTTAAGTGAAATGAAATAGAAAATTCATATTTTATTTAAACCAAGGAAAAATGGTATGAGTAAAAGTTCAGTTAAGATGGCCAGGAAGCTGTGTGTGGTGGCTCATGCCTGTAATCCCAGCACTTAGAGAGGTCAAGGCAGGAGGATTACTTGAGCCCAAGAGCTCAAGACCAGCCTGGACAACATGGCAAGACCCCATCTCTACAAAAACATACAAAAATTAGCTGGGCGTAGTGGTCTCAGCTGCTGGGGAGGCTGAGCTGGGAGGATCACTTGAGCCCAGGAGGTCAAGGCTGCAGTAAGCTATGTTCTCACCACTGCATTCCAGCCTGGGTGACAGAGCAAGACCCTGTCTCAAAAGAAGAAAAAGAAAAAAGATGGTTAGGAAAACAGACACACTTGCCCACTGAAATTTTTTTAAAGATGTTAGTTTCTTAATTGAATTACTGGCTTTAGGGTGGAGCCCTTTAAGGAACAGGGCCAGGAAAGCATGCAGTTTCTATGGCCTAATAAGCAGGCACAGCTGGAAGGCAAAACAGATCTCCAAAGTTAAGGATCCAACTTTTACACTGAATCCTGGGTCCTCAAGAGAGGAGAACACCGCAGGACAAGACAGTGCAATGCTTTTACGGTGCACTTCACTGCAAGGACATTCCCCTGAGGCTGGTGGGCAACCCTATAGCAATCAGCCTATTCTGTAATCACTTAATGCTCCATGGGAGTCTTAACCCTCATTCCATACCTTCTAGGTGCCCGAAAGCATGCTTTTCTTATCTAAATGTGCAAAAAAAAAGCAGTACCACCCTGTAGTAATAACTATTCACTGTAAACAACTGTCAATAGCCATCTCTAAAAGTATATTTCTTTCCTAGCTTTTACATACCAAGATTAAAATTTAAGCAGACAGAATTCAGTTGCTTAAGATGTTTTTACAGAGAGAGAGCAGAGGCTTTAAAACAATATCTGTACACATATATTCTAAATCAGTTTTAATTAAGTTGACTTTTAACTATAGAGCTCTTGAAGAAAATTCTTTCAGATCTCTTATTACCAGTTTTTAGCTGGAACAAACAGCTGATATTTCTGGCTTTTGAACTCTCTACCAAGGATAACCTCCCACCTGAAACCAATGAGCCTTAACTAGGGTTATGACTTAACCACAGATGCACAAGGTATCTCCAAAGAGATGCCAAGCAGTTTTTTACAAGATCTAGAATCACCCCAAAGGTATCTCAGAGCAAGGAAAATTCAAGACAGGAAATCAGAAGCTGTCCATCAATGAATGGCAAAAAGTCCCACAAATACAAAACCAGAAAGGACGCATTCCCTAAGCTGGGAAGTGATCCCAGGCCACCATAGTGAAAGGGCAGAGATTTAGCTACTGTGCTACAGCATAGGGTGGTTGCCAGTGCTCTTCCCAGAAAGAATCTAGAGCAGTCATTTTCAAGCTTGCGAATGATTTTAACTGCTCAAGAGAATTTTTAAGGCTACCCACGACACTACTGTTTAACCTTCCTTCAATTGTTTTAGATAAGAGATCTCTAAAATCCTTTTTCTTTCAATGGTGTACTTAGTTCCAATAGAGACTCAAACACCTTTTTTAAATTGCAGATGGTAATTTTCCAGGTTTTTGCCATATAAGCAGCAAGAAGTATTCCTAGAGGAGGCATCCCCAAGTATTCCCTCTTGGAAATGGGTTTAAGATAGCAAAATACAACAAAAGTCCTGTAGAGATAGGACTGTTTTTTTGTCCTAATAAATCCAACCAGCAGAGATGGGACGTTTTAAGACAAAACTCACCTAAGGGCTCGACACATTCAGGACGAAGAGTATGCTAATGTGTCTCAGACTCCCAGTCCTCTCAGACCAGCCACCTGACTTGAACCCAAGAATTTCCATCCTCCAGATGGCAGAGATCAAGAGAGAGAGTACCCCTACATGGTTACAAAGTCAAGCTCTCAACCACATAAAACAAGACCAGGGAAATCTCATCCAGTTTTTGTTCGAAGGACCTGCAGCAAAGTTTGTAACCGACCAGTCTGCAGGGCTGGCTTGAACAGCAGGCTTACAGGGATCCTAGGCCTGTGTTCTATCCTATGGTATCCTTCTCCATGACAGAACGACACAAAAAGGCAAAGACAAAGGAAGATGGCAAAAAAGGTGATTTCTGAGAAGGGGCCAAACAATACAAATATTTATAGTTCAAAGTAGCAAAAGTACACAAGATTCACTACAACCTAAGACTAGTCACACAAATCTTCTTCCCTATTAATCAAAACTTTGCAGAGGAGACAAACAGTGACTTTTATTGTTCACTCAACTCATTTGCACAGAGAGAGAAAGGCCAGAGGCTAGCTGGTAAGAAATTAGCTTTTTACCAGCTTGTCAGGTTTATGGCTTCCCTTTCTCAGCTGCTTCCAGAAGAGCAGAGTGGCTTTTGATGACCCTGCTTGCTGCACCATAGCTGTGGGGGCCAAGCCACTTTACAAAAGAAAAACATTCCTTTTCTTTTCATGGAACCAAAGGCAAAAGGCCCCAGTTTTGCAAGAGGCAGCCCAACAGGTTGTGTGGGGGAAATAAATTAACGTTTCCCATTCCAACAGGAGTTATACACACATGTCAAAACACAGACACTAGTCACTCTGCTCAGTGCCCAAGTATCAACCTGGCAAGGCTCAAACTTGCCCCCATTGGCCCCTATCTGAGTCTCCTCCCCAATATAAGTTTCATGGTGGTAGGGCATATTAAGAAAGCCTGGCAGGCCAGGCGCGGTGGCTCCCGCCTGTAATCCTAGCACTTTGGGAGGCCAAGGCAGGCAGATCACCTGAGGTCAGGAGTTCGAGACCAGCCTGGCCAACATGGTGAAACCCTGTCTCTACTAAAAATACAAAATTAGCCAGGTGTGGTGGTGTGCACCTGTAATCCCAGCTACTCAGGAGGCTGAGGTAGGAAAATCGTTTGAACCTGGGAGGCAGAGGTTTCAGTGAGCCGAGATCACGCCACTGCACTCCAGCCTGAGTGACAGAGTGAGACTCCATCTCAAAAAAAAGTACCAGAACTAGAATGAAGCTGTTTTCTCTGCTATGTCTTGCAGTATTCCTTCCAGTGCAATTTACTGTCAAAGTCTAACGTTGTGCCCAATGGAAGAAGAAATGTGTATAGGGTCCAGCTCCAGAACCACAAGGCAGGACAAAGATGGAGTGGATTTGGAACAAAGATGCAATAAAATAATATTGAGCACCAGTCACACCTTTGGCTGCACAGTTTTCATATTACACATATTTGAACTTTTTTTTTTTTTTTGAGACAGAGTCTTGCCCTGTCACTCAGGCCAGAGTGCAGCGGCACAATCTCAGCTCACTGCAACCTCTGCCTCCTGGGTTCAAGCGATTCTCCTGCCTCAGCCTCCCAAGTAGCTGGGATTACAGGCACCCACCATCACACCCAGCTAATTTTTGTATTTTTAGTAGAAATGGGGTTTTGCTATGTTGGCCAGGCTGGTCTGGAACTCCCGACCTCAGGTGATCTGCCTGCCTTGGCCTCCCAAGGTGCTGGGATTACAGGCATGAGCCACCGTGCCTGGCCTGAACTTTTATACAACAATGAAATAATTCTCTATTTTCACCAATCAAGACAAAGCCACCTTATAAGTGAAGAAGTTCTCACTCTGTCCCCAAAATAAAGAGAGCCCTAGTCATTATATAGCTCAATACAGAGCTGTATTATTTACTCTTCAAATTCAGTCACAGTATCCTTGACCATATATACTCTTACCAAAAGGACTATATTACGACATAACTTCCAACAATTTGTATATAAAATCATAAGTGTCAGGAGAAGAAACAGTTGCCGAGAGCAGCATGTGTACTGCCCAGGTAGGTGACCCAGTCAGTGGTGGGGACGAATTTACTGACCCTCTCAATCCCGTGTAGGTCAGGCCCAACCATGGTTAAGGCTGAAACAGGCAAGTCCTAGTGGGAGGAATTTGAAAACCAAGTTAGGTGAAAAGGCCTAGGGGTCTCCAACCTTGGCCTCCGTCCCTGATAGAATCAGAGGAGAGAGGCCTGGGGTGCTGGAGGCAGAAGAGGCCCTGCCCTGTCCAACCCTGAGAGGCAGATTCTCAGTCCCCAGGATGCCGGACACTTTTTTCTCTCTTGTCACTGAGTCTCCTCTCCACAGGCAGAACTGTGGGCTGAACCCTGAGGCCAGCGCCTCTGCTCTCTAATGACCACCACCAAATACTCAGGCCCACTGTTCACTAGGTGGCATCTTACTCTGAGCATTACATATTTATTTCCGTGAATGTTTTAGCTTAATACCATGAGATGGTCCTTACTGTCCTCACTTTACAGCTGAGAGACAGAGCCTCGATGATCTGAGGAAACCTGCCCAGGGTCACAGGTCGTGTGGCCAAACCCTAACAGGGGCCAGGTCTACATCAAAGCTCAGTTGAGCTCTAAACAGGGGGCCACCAGATTAGGGGCACCAGCCCTAGGGGTCCTCCAGGGATCTGGAGAGACAGGAAAGAAGGCAGAGAACATATTAGAACTATTATAAAATCTTTAATCTTATGCCCTTTTAATGTGATTTGCGTTTGTTCTTTCAACCTGCATTATGTTTGCACATGTTTGTTAGCTGCATGTTCAAAATATATTACTGAATGGAGTGTGTGATCAAAAGAGTTTGGAGATCCTTGCTCCAAATCTCTGCTCCAGAAATCTACTCTAAAGCAGCGGGTCTCAGAAAAGGAAGCAGAACCAAGAAGCAGCAGCGGCCTGGGAGGCGCCCGGACAGAAGGTGCTCCGTGGGCGGGGGGGAGTAACTCGTGGGCCCGGGAAAAGGCCCCCAACCTGGTCTCACCAGATTTTCCTCAGCCTCTGCTGCCCCCTTGTGGCCACCACGTGGCAGACAGAAAGAGCAGTTCCCAGCAGGAAGACACCGAGGGAGGGGTACGGAGGATGCAGAAAACAATCTTAGAACCGTGGAAGGGAGCGAAGGAAACCAGACACTAAAGACCTCAAGCTGTAGCAATCCAAACATGCGAAGTTGAAGAATAGCAAAACGAGGCCGGGCGCGGTGGTTCATGCCTGTAATCCTAGCACTTTGGGAGGCTGAAGCGAGCGGATCACTTGAGGTCAAGAGTTTGAGACCAGCCTGGCCAACATGGTGAAACCCCGTCCCTACTAAAAATACAAAAATTAGCCGGAAATCGCTTGAACCCGGAAGGCGGAGGTTGCAGTGAGCCAAGATCATGCCACTACACTCCAGCCTGGGCAACAGAGTAAGACTCTGTCTTAAAAAAAAAAAAAAAAGAAAAAAGAAAAGAAATGTCTTTTCTCACAGTTCTAGAGGCCAGAAAACCTGAGATCAAGGCACTACTGCCTGGTGAGGGCTGTTCTCTGCTTCCAATGTGGCATCTGTTGCTTCATCCTCTGGAGGGGAGGAACACTGTGTCCTCACGTGGCAGGGAGTGGAAGGGCAAAAGGGATGAACTCTTTCCATCAAGTCCTTTTATAATGACATTAATCCATTCATGCAGGCCCTGCCAAAAGGCCCTCCCAAAAGGCCCCACCTTCCAACAGTTGCATGGGAATTAAATTTCCAACACATGAATTTTGGGAGACACATTCACAGCGTAGTCCAGCCTAAGCAATACGCTGTGCCAGGATTGCGGGGAGGGAGGGAATAGCTGCAGAAGCAGGGAATAAAGAATTTGGACTGAGACATGTTTCAGTTGACATCCTGGTGGGGAGTGGAGGAGGTGGCTGATGTGAAGAATGTGAAGAAAACAGTGATTCCACTGAAAACACATCCGACAGTCCTCTATCCTTACCAGGTGCTCCGTATAGTTTGGCGAGAGAGGCAGAAAGGTCTGAGTTCCAAGGAGAGGTCAGGGCTGGAGACATTCCATTGTGTGGCCACAGCTTCTTCCCAGAGCTTGCAGGAGACATGTTCACACCACCTCCCACCACCCCCACGATGCTATTTGTTCTGTATGTCTCTCCCACCTAGACTGGGAGCCTTGGAGGGCAGGGCATTGGGGGCCAGAGAGCCTTCCAGGCAGACTCTCCTAATGCCCGAAGCAAGGCTAGGCTCAGAAGCCCCGTGAGGAAGGCAGGTGAGGAACAGGCAGCCCTTGACCCATGACTGTGCCAGGTTGGGGACCTGGGACCCAGGGAAGCCTTCTCCCGCCTCACCATCAGCACAGGCCAGGATTGGAGAGTTTACCTCCTTTGGTGTTTACCAAACACACAGGGAAGACCAGTTGTGAGTAGACCAAGGCAGCCCAGCTGGGTGATCAGCAAGTCTCACCACCTCAGGCTACCCTCTTCACACACCGCAGCCTGTCCCCTGCCTACACTGCGCATCTTGAGTGCTCTGACCCCTTCACTACCCCTTCCTCCACCCCCCTGGACAGCAGCCCTGAGACAGGTCCTGAACCCCTAGCCAAGTACCCGCTGCCCACCCCCAGTGCCCCACCCACCCTTACTAGCTCTCACCCACCCTCCCATCCTAAACCTCAGCCCTCCCACCCCCCCATGCCCACCTGAGCCCCTGCTTTCAGCTGCCTAAGAACTTCCCCCTGATGTGAAGAAAACAGCGATTCCCCTGAAAACACATCTGACAGTCCTCTATCCTTAGCCAGGGCTCCATATAGTTTGGCGAGAGAGGCAGAGAAACAACAACGAAAAAAAAATATACACGCACACACACACACACAGACATCCACAGATTCATAAACATTTTGGATCCCTGGAGCTTGGATACATTTTCTAAAGGGCAAGCAGTTGTTTTGCTTATTTAATTTTATTGACAATCATCTTGTCATTCACTCTTGTAATTATAAATTTTTGGATTTACCTTTTTAAATATATTTTAATAGATTCTTTCCCCATACTAGACCCCAGCACACAACTAATTTCCTTGTCATGAAAAAATAAAAATAAAAAACTCATTTGTGATATCTTTAACTTTTGCCTGTAGTTTCTAAATTTAAAATGGAAGATTGTCAATCCATAATTATATGTGTCCAGTAAAAATTTTAAAGACTGTTTCCAGGGTTAATTGTCAACCTCCCCAGGAAAGGGATAACCAGTAATGCCGCCCCAGCCCAGAGTCTCCTAGGACGGCAGCTGACACTGGCCAAGTCCGCCAGGTGCCTCCTGTCCATCTCCTTCCCTCTTCATCCAGCACCCACCCACTCACCCACGCCAGCCCCAACCTCTTTACAGATGAAGGAACTGAGTGAGGCTCAGAGAGGTTAGCTAGTCTGACCAACATCACACTGTGTCAAACTCCTAAGCTAAGTGTTTTTTTCACTATTATATACTCTTCTGCTCTACCCACCAAAAAATTTCTTATCATGCCTTTGTTGCGAAAGAAGGAAAGAAAGAAAGAAGGAAGGAAGGAAGGAAGGAAAGAAAGAAGGAAGGAAGGAAGGAAAGAAGGAAGGAAGGAAAGAAAGAAGGAAGGAAGGAAGGAAGGAAAGAAGGAATGAAGGAAGGAAGGAAGGAAAGAAAGAAGGAAGGAAGGAAGGAAGGAAGGAAGGAAAGAAAGAAAGAAAGAAAGAAAATCTTTTGTCCCCAAAGTTAGAAAAACAAGTGAAAAAGGCCCAAGGCTATCAGCGAGGGCTCCAGAACCAAGGCAGTGCGGCCCTGCCCTTTCCTCCCACCTCACCCCTGCTCTGCTTTCCTCAGCCACTCCTGACCAGCAAGCAGGACACTGGGCATGGGTCCCAAGCCTGTGTCACCTTGGGCAGGTCGCGTCTCCCCTCTGGGCCTCAGTAAAAGAAGAAATGGGACCAAGTGAACAGTTCCAGGCTGTGTTCCCCAGCATCCTACATCCCATGGCAACCTTGAAGGGTCACTCTGGGTAGGGGTGGGGTCTCAGGAGGGGAAAGACTCAGCCAGAGCGCTGATCCTATATCTCTTCTCTATTTTGGGATTCTAGATATGAGTTTGATGGACAAAATTCCTCTACATTTGACATGATGAAAAGAAAAAGTTTGAAAGCCAGAGGCAAGACCATCCTGAAGATTCCTTTCAACTCCAAGGTCCTTTCACTTCCACAGGTGATCTGACATCACCACCTCTCTCACCACGCTGACAGCACTTTCATTTTGACTCTTGTGATGAGGTCACCTGGTATCTACACAGGATGGGGTTTTTTTGTGGAAAATGAAGGATTTCCATATCTGCGAATTTATTACACAAGAGTTTTAATATGGCTGAGCACAGTGGCTCATGCCTGTAATCCCAGCACTTTGGGAGGCCAAGGCGGGCAGATCACTTGAGGTCAGGAGTTCAAGACTAGCCTGGCCAACATAACAAAACCCCATCTCTACTAAAAATACAAAAATTAGTCAGGTGTGGTGGTGTGCACCTATAGTCCCAGCTACTTGGGAGGCTAGGGCAGGAGAATCGCTTGAACCTGGGAGGCAGAGGTTGCAGTGAGCCAAGATCGCACCACTGCACTCCAGCCTGGGCAACACAGCAAGACCCTATCTCAAAAAATGGAGGAAAAAAAAGAGTTTTAATCCCAGATGTTTTATTCATTAAAATTCACTGCTAAACAAACAACCAAAAAAACTGTCAGTTAACTAGAAGGATTGACGGGGGTGTCTGATTAACTGGAAGTGTCCTGAAGATGTCCTGACTTTATAAGGACAATTTTGTAATGAATACATATACATTCTGTGAGGGCAGGGAGGGTTTTGCTAAGCACAGGGTAGATAGTCAAGCTTGGTTAACTTACTGCTTGAATAAATGAATGAATACATGAACTTTTCTCTGGTGGTCAAGAGTAATGCAGGGCCTTAGCTGCTTTGCAGTACATGTGGCCTCCAACGTCACCCTCAGCTGCTCCTGTTGCCAGCATTTAACAGCCTTCCAGTCACTCCTCACTCTTCACAATTCACTAAAATTTTCAGTCCCTGGGTCACTGTCTTTCTCTTCATCCCACTCCTGCTACCATTCTTTGTGGCTTCTCTATCAACCAAGACACTCCACCCAACACCCTGGCCTCTCACCTTGACCTTTTGACCTTCTCACCTCCAGTGATCTTGTCCTCCCCCTACCACAGCCACTCACTCCACAGTCATACCTAGACCTTGTCATTACCTGTACCTGTACCTGAAACCTCTCCATAATCTCAGTTTTAAGTATCCCCCTTCCTGTCCTTGCAGATCACTCCCTCTAGTGTCCACCTCCAAAGATCAAACAATATTTTCACTTCTCCAGACCTCCAACCCCTTTGACCCTGACATTATGAGATCCTGTGCCCTCCCAACCTTATCCCGCTTAGGTTTCATGAAGCATTGTTGTAAGAGCTATCTTGCATCTCAACTCCTATTTCCCTCATTCCCTCCATCATGCCTGCCTGTCAAAAGCCTAGCTCTGGCTACCTCCAACTTCCCACCGACTCCATGCCTGCATCCAAGCAGCTGAAGTGGTTGGATAAAAATACTCAACCATGCTCATCAAACATTTACAAACTTCAAGTTGGCCATTAGAAACACCCAGCAGATAACCTGTGATGGAATTAGAGTAAAGAAAAGAAAAAGAAGTATACGGCATTTTCCTGGCCACTCACTCACAGAATTTCAAGGCAACTATTTCACACTTTCTTGTATTTCATTACACAGCCTCCATCCTCCTCACTTTCTTTTTTTTTTTTTTTTTTTTTGAGACAGAGTCTCACTGTATGGCCCAGGCTGGAGTGCAATGGCGCAATCTCGGCTCACCGCAACCTCTGCCTCCTGGGTTCAAGTGATTCTCCTGCTTCGGCCTCCCAATTAGCTAGGATTACAGGCATGCACCACCACACCCGGCTAATTTTGTATTTTTAGTAGAGACGAGATTTCACCATGTTGCCCAGGCTGGTCTCAAACTCCTGACTCAGGTGATCCACCCTCCTCAGCCTCCCAAAATGTTGGGATTACTGGCATGAGCCAATGTGCTCAGCTCATCTTCCTCACTTTCAACTAACAACCAACTCCTCCACTTGGGCACTAGACCCCACTGCCTCTCACCTACTCAGGGCCATTCCTCCAGCAATACCCCATCTCCTGCACACCGCCTTTCCCTCTGCAGTGGCTCACTCCCATCAGCAAGCAAATATGTTATTCCTCCTATCTTAGAAAATAAAAAATGAATAAATACAAACCTTCCTCAGCACCCAAACTGAGGTCTCCTAGTACCATTTCCTCTAAAAAGAAACATATAGCAGCTTATGTACAAGATGAGCCTGAACATCTTATCACCAGAAAACAAGAAAGGCATCAAAGATATTAGTATTTTATCAACTTGAGGCTCGCACTGCCCAAATATGGCATAAATGGAGCCTCAGTAAAAATAGTGATAGCAACGGATTAAAACACATTCAAATCAACTGACTCATAGTGATACTAAATAAAGGGTCATTGGTTACCTTTGGCAGATGCTAGAGAACAAACTCATTATTCTGAAAGCTGCTAAATAAAGGGGAAAGAATGGCATCAATCTGCCTTTCCTAAATAAGTCATGTCAAAATAGTAGATGGGACATAATCTGTATAAATGAAATCAGTTTAGACAGAATAATAGACTTAGAATATCTGCATTTTATAATCCCTAAGAAAATAATGGATCTAGCAATGCTCATCATGGCTACCAACTAGAATTCTATGCCTCCTGATAGAAACACAGCACAATACCACCTATGACGTAGCCTTGCCAGAAAATAGATCATGAATCATATAAAGTCTTTAAATCTAACTACCAGTTTAAGAAGAAAATGGGGGAGGCAGAGGAATATGGTAAATGGTACAGTGATTCAATTAGCAAAATTCAGAATGTGGAAAGTTCTATAGGAAACAAGCCATTTCTTCAACAAATAAATGTCAAGGGGGTAAAAAAAGATTTAAAGAGACTTAAGCTCCAAGTCTAACCATGAGAAAATCACCAAACAAATTCCAAAAGAGGGGCAGCCTGCATAACACCTGACTAGTACACCTCAAAACTATCAAGGTCACCAAAAACAAGGAACACTGGCAAAACTGTCACAACCAAGAGGGCCCAAAGAGACATGACAAATACATGAAATATGGTATCCTGGAAGGCCAGGCGTGGTGGCTCACGCTTGCAATCCAGCACTTTGGGAGGCCGAGGCGGGCAGATCACTTGAGGCCAGGAGTTCGAGACCAGCCTGTCCAACATGGGGAAACCCCGTCTCTACTCAAAATACAAAAAAATTAGCCGGGCATGGTGGTGGGCACCTGTAGTCCCAGGTACTCGGGAGGCTGAAGCAGGAGAATTGCATGAAACTAGGAGGCGGAGGTTGCAGTGAGCCAAGATCACACCATTGCAATCCAGCCTGGGCAACAAGAGCAAAATTTCGACTCAAAAAAAAAAGGAAAAGAAATATGGAATCCTGGAACAGACAAAAAGACACCAGGTGAAAACTAAGACAATCTGAATGAATGAAGTATGGACTTTAATAATAATTTATCTTTTTTTTTTTTTTGAGACAGAGTCTTGCTCTGTTGCCCAGGCTGGAGTGCAGTGGCATGATCTCAGCTTACTGCAGCCTCCACTTCCCAGGTTCAAGTGATTCTCCTGCCTCAGCCTCCCAAGTAGCTGGAATTACAGGTGTGCTCCACCACGCCTGGCTAATTTTTGTATTTTTAGTAGAGAGAGGGTTTCACCATGTTGGCCAGGCTGGTCTCAAACTCCTGGCCTCAGGTGATCCGCCCACCTCAGCCTCCCGAAGTGCTGGGATTACAGGCGTGAGCCACCATGCCCGACCAATTTATCAATATTGATTCATTAATTATAACACATATACCCACACTCACGTAAGATGTTATTAATAAGGGACACTGAATCCAGGGAGGGCACATGGGAATACTCTGTACTATCCTCTCAGTTTCTCTAGAAATCTAAAACTGTTCTAAAATGTGAATTCCACTTCAAAGAAGAGAAAGAGAGACTTAAGACACATATCAACTGAATACAATGCACGGATATTGTTTTGATATTGATTCAAACTGTATATATATTTAATGGAGAATTTGGGAAAACTAAACATTGCATATTTGATAATATTAAGAAATTATGTAAACTTTTCAGAAATAATACTAGCAAAATGGTTATATTATTTAAGAGTTCTTATCTTTTAGGATACTGAAATATTTGTGATAGAAATGATACAATATCATATCATATCATGTCATATCATATCATATCATATCTGGGATTTGTTCTAAAATAATCTGGTATGGAGGTTGGGAGTAGAGATGGAACCAGAGTGGTCCTGAATTTTTTTTTTCTTTAGACAGTGTCTCGCTCTGTTGCCCAGGCCGGAGTGCAGTGATGCCATTTTGACTCACTGCAACCTCCGCCTTTTGAGTTCAAGTGATTCTCCTGCCTCAGCCACCCTAGTAGCTGGAATTACAGGCGTGCACCACCATGTCCGGCTAATTTTTGTATTTTTTATTAGAGACGGGGTTTCACCACGTTGGCCAGGATGGTCTTGAACTCCTGACCTCAGGTGATCCACCTGCCTCAGCCTCCCAAAGTGCTAGGATTACAGGCATCAGTGGTCCTGAATTAATGATTATTGCATCTGGGTCACGGGTATATGGGAGTTCTTTTTCATTATCTCTATTTATGTGTATGAATTTTCTGAAATAATGAGTTTTTTAAAATTTCTCATGACCTCATATGCTGTCTCGCTAGACATACTTTCTCTGCAGCTCTTGACAGCAAAATTCCTTAAGAAATTCTACAACACAAAATGTCTCTACCTCCTCTCCTCTCACAGATTTATTGAGGCATAATTTACACACCATAAAATTCACCCACTTTGGTCAGGCGCAGTGGCTCACAGCTGTAATCCCAGCACTTTGGGAGGCCGAGGTGGATGGATCACTTGAGGTCAGGAGTTCGAGACCAGCCTGGCCAACACGGTGAAACCCCGTCTCTACTAAAAATACAAAAATTAGCCAGGTGTAGTGGTGGCCCCCTGTAATCTCAGCTACTCGGGAGGCTGAGGCAAGAGAATTGCTTGAACCTGGGAGGTGGAGATTGCAGTGAGCCAAGATGGCACCACTGCACTCTAGCCTGGGCAACAGATCGAGACTCCATCTCAAAGAAAAAAAAATCATCCATTTTAAGTGTACAATTCAATGATTTTAGTATATTTATAGAGTTGTAAAACTATCACCACAATCTAATTTTGAAACATTTCCATCACACCAAAAAGAAATTTCATATTCCTTTGCACTTAGCCCCCATTCCAAACCTGAGCCCTAGACAATCACTAATCTTTCTGTCTCTATAGATTTGCCTATTTTAGACATTTCATGTAAGTGGATTCCTGCAGCCTTTTGAGTCTAGCTTCTTTCACTTAGCATAATGTTTTTGAGGTTCATTCATTTTGCAGCATGTATCCATATTTCATTCATTTTTATTGCTGAATAGTATTCCATTGTATGGACACACCTTTTTTTTTTTTTTTTTTTTTTGAGATAGAGTCTTGTTCTGTCACCCAGGCTGGAGTGCAGTGGTGTGATCTCAGCTCACTGCAACATCTGCCTCCCAGGTTCAAGCAATTCTTCTGCCTCAGCCTCCCAAGTAACTGGGATTACAGGGGTGCACCACCATGCCCAGCTAAATTTTTTGTATTTTTAGTAGAGACGGGGTTTCACCATGTTGGCCAGCCTGGTCTCAAACTCCTGACCTCAAGTGATGCACCTGCCTCAGCCTCCCAAAGGGACACACCATATTTTGTTCACCAATTCACTGATCAATGGATATTTGGTTGTTTTTACTTCATACCTATTGTGAATAACACTGCTATGAATTCTTATACAAGTATTTGTGTGGACAATACGCTTTCATTTTTCTTTCTTTTTTTTTTTTTTTTTGAGACAGAGTTTTGCTCTTGTTGCCCATGCTGGAGTGCAACAGCGCAATCTCAGCTCACCGCAACCTCCGCCTCCTGGGTTCAAGTGATTCTCCTGCCTCAGCCTCCCAAGTAGCTGGGATTACAGGCATGCACCACCATGCCCAGCTAATTTTTGTATTTTTAGTAGAGATGGGGTTTCTCCATGTTGGTCAGGCTGGTCTCAAACTCCTGACCTCAGGTGATCCGCCCACCTCGGCCTCCCAAATTCCTGGGATTACAGACGTGAGCCACCACACCCGGCCTGCTTTCATTTTTCTTAGGTAGATACCTAGGAACCCAATTGCTGAGTCATATGGAAAATCTGTGTTGAATGTTTTAAGGACTTAACCAGCTGCCTTCAAGCTCCAAGACAAGATGACGTAGATGCTCTTCTGATTCCTCCTGCTAAATACAGCTACAATCCTGGATGGTATATATAAAACAAACATAAGAAGATCCTGAAAGATGCAGAGAAGGCAGACTGGCTAGGAATCTCAAGACCCGAAAAAACAATATAGTGGTGAGTTCCCTGGGTTTGGCTTTTGCCTCATATATACAAGACTGGGTGCTGGAAAAGCCAGCAACCAGGAAACTCCAACAGGAAGATGAAAAAAATCCCGGAAAGTCTCTGGCCAAAGGACCAACAAAGGAACATCCTGGAAAGACAAAACTTTTAGACAATGACTACTCTATTTCAGGCAAAAAAAAAAAAAAAAAAAAAAAAAAAAACAACACTCTCACCCCCATATCTGCCAATAAAGGATGAGTGGGGAGTTTAGCCATCAACTCCCACCCAGCTGAGGCACCCCTCCCCAGCAAGTAGGAAGCTGGGACTCTCAGCCCCGCCTGGTGGTATGAAATCCCCCTCCATCACAACCAGTGTCACTGGAGACCCCGTGGGGAACAGGAATGAAGTGCTTCTTACTCTCTCAGCCAGGGTGTGTCAGCAGAGACCTAGTGGGAAGCCTGAACCCCCATCCACACCTAGCAATAACAAGGAGCACGGCTCCCTCAAGTGTTCACAGAGGCCAGGTGAGGAACCTGGGCCTCTCCCCCAACCTGACAGCAGTGAGGCAGCACCCTCTTTGCTCAACTAGTGCGGTGTCAAAGGATGATCACTAAAACAGACTTAAATAAGATCCAGAGTCTCATAACATACAATCCAAAATGTGCAGGATGCAAGCGAAAATCACTTGTCATACCAAGAATCGGGAAAATCTTGAATAAGAAAAGACAATTAACAGACATCAACACCCAAGTTGACTTAAATGTTGGAATCACCTGATGCATATTTAAAGCAAGCAAGTATTTTAAAACAAGTATTAAAAATGCTTTACAGGCCAGGCACATTGGCTCACTCCTGTAATCCCAGCACTTTGGGAGGCCAAGGCGGGTGGATCACTCAAGGTCAGGAGTTCGAGACCAGCCTGACCAACATGGCGAAACCCCGTCTCCACTAAACATACAAATATTAGCTGGGCATGGTGGTGCATGCCTGTAATCCCAGCTACTAGGGATGCTGAGGCAGGAGAATCACCTGAACCCGGAGGCAGAGGTTGCAGTGAGCTGAGATCATGCCATTGCACTCCAACCTGGGTGACAGAGCAACACTCCATCTCAAAAAAAATAAAAATAAAAATAAAAAAGCTTCACAGGCCAGGCACATTGGCTCACATCTGTAATCCCAGCATTCTGGGAGGCCGAGGTAGGCAGATCACTTGAGGTCAGGAGTTCAAAACCAGCCTGGCCAACATGGCAAAACCCCATCTCTACTAAAAATACAAAAATTAGCCAGACATGGTGGCAGATGCCTATAATCCCAGCTATTCGAGAGACTGAGGCAGGAGAATCACTTGAACCTGGGAGGTGAAGGTTGCAGTGAGCCAAGATTGCACTGCTGCACTCCAGCCTGGGCAACCGAGTGAGACTCTGTCTCAAAAAAAAAAAAAAGCTTTACAGCCAAGTGCAGTGGCTCATGCCTGGTGGGAGGATCACTTGAGCCCAGGAGTTCATGACCAGCAACATAGGGAAATGCTGTCTCTACAAAAAACAACAACAAAATAATAATAATAATAATAATAATAATAATTACCCAGGAATGGTAGTGTGTACTTGTGGTCCCAGCCCCTTGGAAAAAAAAAATGTTTTTAATTAGCCAGACATGGTGGTGTGTACTTGTGGTACCAGCTACTTGAAGGCTGAGGTGGGAGGATCACTTGAGCCTAGGAGGTCAAGGCTGCAGTGAGCCATGATTGCACTTCAGCCTGGGCAACAGAGCAAGACCTTGTCTCAAAAAGAAAAGGAAAAAAAAAAAAACAACATTTAACAAGCAATTACAAACTCTCTTGAAACAAATGAAAACCAGAAATTTTGGCAAAGAAATGGAAGATATAAAGAAGAATCAGGCCGGGTGAGGTGGCTCACACCTGTAATCCCAGCACTTTGAGAGGCGGAGGTGGGCGGATCATGAGGTCAAGAGATCAAGACCATCCTGGCCAACATGGTGAAACCCCGTCTCTACTAAAAATACAAAAAGTTAGCCAGGCATGGTGGCAGGTGCCTGTAATTCCAGCTACTTGGGAGGCTGAGGCAGGAGTATCACTTGAACCTGGGAGGCAGAGGTTGCAGTGAGCCAAGATCGTACCATTGCACTTCAGCTTGGGCAAAAACAGTGAAACTCCATCTCCAAAAAAAAAAAAGAAGAAGAAGAAGAATCAAATAGAAATTTTAGAACTTAGAAATATAATCATGAAAATTGAAGACTCAATAGATTGGCTTAACAGCAGATTGGAGAGGACAGAGGAAAGATTCAGCGAACTTAAAGGTAGAAGAGAAATTACTCAATCTGGACAACGGAGAAAAATAGACTGAAAAAAATGAACAGAGGTTCATTTATGGGACTGTAACAAAAGAGCTAACTAACGTTCTGTCATCAGCATTTAAGAAGAAGAGAGAGAGAATGGAGCAGGAAAATGTACTCAAAGAAACAATGCCTGAAAAACTCCCAAATTTGGCAAAAGATATTAACTGATTGATGCAAGAAGCTAAGTGAACCCCAAACAGTATGTTTTCATGTATTTGATGGCCATTTATGTATCTTCTTTGGTGAAATGTCTATTCAAATCTCTTGCCCATTTTTTATTGTTATTATTGAGTTATAAAAGTTCTTTTTATATTTTAGATACAAGTCCCTTATCTGATAAATGATTTGCAAATACTTGATCTCATTCTATTGCTTTTGTTTATCTTTTCACTTTCTTATGGTTGCTGTTATTTTTATGTTTGTTTTTTTCCTTAATGAAGGCAATTTCCACTTTCTTTTTTTTTTTTTTTTTTTTTTTTTTTTGAGACAGAGTCTTGCTCTATCACCCAGGCGGGAGTGCAGTGGCATGATTTCGGCTCACCACAACTTCCAACTCCCAGGTTTAAGAAATTATCCTGCCTCAGCCTCCCAAGTAGCTGGGACTACATGCATGCACCACCATGCCCGGCTAATTTTTGCATTTTTTAGAGACAGGGTTTCACCATGTTGGCCAGGCTGGTCTCAAACTCTTGGCCCCAAGTGATCCACCTGCCTCGGCCTCTCAAAGTGCTAGGATTACAGGTGTAAGCCACCACACCCAGCCTTCACTTTCTTGATGGTGCCTTTTGGAGTACAAAAGTTTTCAATTTTGATGAAATCCAATTATCAATATTTTATGTGAAGCATGGGCAATATAGTGAGACCCTGTCTCCACACCAAAAAAAAAAAAAAAAAAAAAATTTAACAATTAACCAAGCGTGGTTGTATGCACCTGTAGTCCCAGCTATCCAGGAAGCTGAGGCAGGAGGATCACTTGAGCCCGGGAGTTGAGGCTGCAGTGAACTATGATTGCACCATGGCACTCCAGACTGGGTGACATACCAGGACCCTGTCTCCAAAAACAAAATACTATTTTATTGCTTGTGTAGATGTAAGAAAGTATCATATGTAAGAAATCATTGCCTAGCCCAACATCATGAATATCTACTTTTAGGCCTTTTTCTAATAGTTTTATAGTTTTGCACTTACATTTAGGTCTATGATCAATTTTAAGTTGGTTTTTTGTGTATGGTATGAGGTAATATAGGAATTACAAGCTATAAATCCCCTCTAAGCATAGCTTTAGCTACATGTCAAAAATTAATTCTGATATGTTCTGTTTCAATTTTCATTCAGCTTGAAATATTTTCTGGTTTTCCTTGTGATTTCTTCTTCCACCCATTGGTTGTTTAGAAGCATGCTGTTTAATTTTCACACACTTGTAATTTTCTCAAATTTCCTGTTGTTGTTGATTTCTAATTTAATTCTATTGTGATCAGAGAACATCTTTGTATTATTTCAGTCCTTTTAAAATTATTGAGACGTGTTTTATGGCCTAGCATATGGCCTATCCTGGAGAACGTTCCATGTACACTTGAGAAAAATGGTATATCCTGCTATTGTTTAGCAGAGTGTTTTATAGATGTCCGTTAGGCTTAGTTAGTTGACAGTGTTACCCAAGTCTTCTGCTCAAGGACAGCCCTCACCTCTCAGCCCTCTTTGTGGACTGAAGATAATTGCTTCCCCAAGGTCACACTCTTTCTAGGGGCAACCCACCTTCCGTGACTGATTAATGTGGGGGGCAAAAACCCAGCTCCCTTGCCCCAGTTGGGGATGGCTCTGAAGGGCCATCCCAGCTCCGGGTTAAATCTCAAAGTCCACTTCCTGGAGACCCAACCTGTGTACCCCTTATTCAGTCAAACTATACCCACTCTAGTTTTAAAATATATTCCAAATCAGACTCACCATGCCCCAATCATCTCTCACTGGTCACCACATCGAGAATGGCCTGGGCCAACAGTTGGGGGCAAGTTGGAAGCAAGGGAGCCAGGTAGGATACTATCACAATACTCCTAATTAGAGATGGTAGGGGTGTGGTGATGAGCAGTTTAATTTGGTACTTATTTTTGAAACTACAGGTGCCATCTCTTATTGACCTCTCAGTCTTTTTTTTTTTTTTTTTTTTTTTTTTGAGACAGAGTCTCACTCTGTCACCCAGGTTGGAGTGCAGTGGCACGATCTCAGCTCACTGCAACCTCTACCTCCCGGGTTCAAGCGATTCTCCTGTCTCAATCTCCCGAGTAGCTGGGACTACAGGCGTGCACCACTATGCCCGGCTAATTTTTGTATTTTTAGTAGAGATGGGGTTTCACCATATTGGTCAGGCTGGTCTCAAACTCCTGACCTCAGGTGATCCACCTGCCTTGGTCTCCCAAAGTGCTGGGATTACAGGTGTGAGCCACCACGCCCGGCCTGAGGCGGAGTCTTGCTCTGTCACCCACGCTGGAGTGCAATGGCTTAATTTCAGCTCAATGCAACCTCCACCTCCCAGGTTCAAGTGGTTCTCCTGCCTCAGCCTCTGGAGTAGCTGAGACTACAGGCGTGTGCCACTATGCCTGGCTGATTTTTGCATTTTTGGTAGAGACACGGTTTCACCATGTTGGCTAGGCTAGTCTCGAACTCCTGACCTCAGATGATCCCACCTCCACCACCCAAAGTGCTGGGATTACAGGTGTGAGCCACCGCACCCGACCAACCTCCCAATCTAAAGTAGCCCCCAAGTTCTCTCTCCCCTCACCCTGCCTTATATCATCTCATACTCCTTATCGCTATCTGATATTATATTTCATATTTACTTGGTATCTGTCTATTTTGTTCAAGACCATAAATTCAGGGCCTAAAACATTGCGGGGTATAAAGACTGTGTTCAATAAATACTGTGTAAATGAATTGATAAGTAAATAAGCAAATGACATGCATCAGTACTTACTGAATGCTGCACTGAATGTCAGCAAAGGCATAAGAGAATGTCTGGATCTGTAGTTTCTGATGTAATCGAAGCAGAAACTTGTTTCCCAGCCATGCCCACATTAGTTTTTTAAATGACAAAAAATAAACCCTACTAAGACAGATGGCGCCTCAGGGTAGAAAGAACATGGGTTTGGATGTGAATAACTCACATCTGAAACACACTTAGTAGCTATATGAACTTGTACAAGTGACTCAACTTCTCTGAGCTCCACATCTCACTGTGGGTGGAGGTAATGGTATCCTCCTCCTGGGGGTATTTTAAGTGAGACAGTGCACGCTGAGTTGAGGTCCTGCTCCACACACTGAGGCATGGTCAAGTCCAAAAACAAGTAAATGAAAAAGACAAAAATCCTTGACTTTGTGGAATTGGCAGTCAGTAAATAAGAAATATAAATTAAATATATGTTAGTTAGATGGTGAGAAATAATAAGGAGAAAAGCCAATGGGGGTGGGGAACATGAGAGAAGGCTTCCAGTTTTGAAATGGGGTAGCCAAGGAAGGCCTTGATTAGGTGCCTTTTGAGATGAGGGACAGAGCCACGAAGACAGCTGGGGAAGGAAGCAGTTCAGGCAGTGAGAAGAACAAGGCTCTAAGGTGTGAATGTGCCTGTTTCAAGAACAGCAGGAAGCTAATGGGGCTGGATGGTGAGAAGTAATCAAAGATGAGGTTAGAGAGGGAAGGGCCTTGGCTGGGGGGCAGTGGCTCATGCCTGTAATCCCAGCACTTTGGGAGGCCGAGGCAGGTAGGTTAGGAGATAGAGACCATCCTGGCTAACACGGTGAAACCCTATCTCTACTAAAAATACAAAAAAATAGCCCGGCGTGGTGGCACGCACCTGTAGTCCCAGCTACTCAGGAGGCTGAGGCAGGAGAATCGCTTGAACCCGGGAGGCGGAGGTTGCAGTGAGCCGAGATTGCACCACTGCACTCCAGCCTGGGCCACAGAGCAAGACTGCGTCTCAACAAAAAAAAAAAGAGAGAGAGAGAAAGAGATTGAGAGGGAAAGGCCTTGTGCAGAGCCTTGCAGGCCCTGTAGGAAAGTTAGCTTTACTCTGAGTGAGTGGAGAAGCGATTGGAGACTTTTGAGCAGAGGAGTGAGGTGGTCTAACTTGTATTTCAACTGACTCACTTTGGCTGCTGTGTAGAGATATGGACAAGGAGAGCAAGGACAGCAGCAGGAAGACAAGTTAGGAGATGCAAGAGATGACATAGGCTTGGACTAGGATATTGGCAATAGGGATGAGAAGAGATGAGAAGTGCTCAGATTCTGGATATACATATTTTTTTTTTTTTTTTTTTTGAGACGGAGTCTCGCTCTGTCGCCCAGGCCGGACTGCGGACTGCAGTGGCGCAATCTCGGCTCACTGCAAGCTCCGCTTCCCGGGTTCACGCCATTCTCCTGACTCAGTCTCCCGAGTAGCTGGGACCACAGGCGCCCGCCACCGCGCCCGGCTAATTTTTTGTATTTTTAGTAGAGACGGGGTTTCACCTTGTTAGCCAGGATGGTCTCGATCTCCTGACCTCATGATCCACCCGCCTCGGCCTCCCAAAGTGCTGGGATTACAGGCGTGAGCCACCGCGCCCGGCCTGGATATACATATTTTGAAGGTAGAGTCCACAGGATTTAAGACAGTTTGGATGTGGAGTATGAGAAAAAGAGAGGAGTCAGCAATATCTTCAAGGATTTGGGCCTAAACAATGGAAAGAATAGAACTGCAAAACTCAATTCTATCAGGAAGGAAGAGAAGGTTAAGGGAGAAGATCAGGTCAGTTCTGGACATGTTAAGTTTGTGGTACTTGTACTTGGAAGTACAAGTCTGGAGTTCCGGGAAGTGTATGATCTTGAGAGTCATCAGCACAAAGGTGGTCTTCATAGATGGTATCTGAATCTGGTAGGGAGCCAGGAGACTGGATGAGATCACCTAGGGAGACAGAAAACTAGAAGAGGCCCAGGGAATAACCATGGACACTACAATGGTAAGAGGTTGGAGAGATGAAGAGTAACCAACAGGGAGGCAGAGAGGGAGGGGCCTGGGGCAACGAGGGGCTCCATATCTCCCGAACCATATATTTACAAATAATCTCCAAGAGTGGATTACTCTTGCTTATTTCTTTTTTTTTTTTTTTTTTCTCACTCTGGTCTCACCTTGTCACCCTGGCTGGATTGCAGTGGCATGATTATGGCTCGTTGCAGCCTCAACCTCCTGGGCTCAAGTGATCCTCCCACGTCAGCCTCCCAAGTAGCTGGGGCAACAGGTGTGCATCACCACGGCCTGCTAATTTTTGTATTTTTTCATAGGGATGGGGTTTCCCTATGTTGCCCAGGCTGATCTTGAACTCCTGGGATCAAGTGATTCTCCCACCTTGGCCTCCCAAAGTGCTGGGAGTACAGGCATGAGCCACCGCTGCACCTGGCACTCTTGCTTATCTCTATGGCTACAGTGGCCTATTGCCTTCTTTGTGTTTGGACACATTATCAGGGCCAACCTCGGAGTTCACCTTTTAAGGTCACAAGTCCCTATGACTGAAGTGTGAATGACTGACAGGTTTATCCTTCTCAGGGGGTATACAATGAAAGAAAATCCCTTTAATAAAATGAATCTCTATTTGATGAAATACTGTAGGAAAAAGGGTCATTTCCCAGAGGGAACTATCTGTATCCCTGGCATGCTGCAGTTCACTGTAGTGATGATGGTACCACCCTGGTCAGTATCAACCCTTGGGAAACCATTGGGAAGGAGAAACAAGCTCTTGGGGGAGCATCAATACTGCTTTGGGCTGTAAGGTCTTAGAGGCCAGGAAAAGTATCTGGGACCCAAGCATAGCTCATAATGCCTGAGCAGGTGCACACTGCCTTACCTTAAGCAGGATAAAGCAAGAAGTGGGCAGGCAGCTTCCTGACACTGTCTTTAAACTCAGCTTCTGCCCACCACACTTCTGGTTCCCTTCCACCTAACCACTTCTCTGTCTCCGTTGCAATTTCTCCTTTTTCTCAAGCTCCAGCCTAGTGCCCCAGCCTCCCTTTCCACAAATGGTGTTAGATTGTCAACATTGCAGAAATGGTGAGTTCAGTTCTTTCCACCAAGGTCTTCGCGGTTCCATGAGAAACCTGTTGTCTCTTCCCATTTTCCTTTCACTACTCACCAGCACCAAATCCCCAGTCAGCAAACCAGAGAGTACAAAAGCAGGGACTTTTACACTAGGGTTCCTCTTCCCCATACCCACAATTGCCTCCTCGACTAAGGAAGGTGATGGGAAAATGACAATGACACCAATAGGACAATGGGACAAAAGCATGGACAGGAAACTCACAAAAGCATGGACAGGAAACACGAATAGCCATTAAACAGTTAAAAAGAATGTTGACATTTAACAACAAATGTGCAGTTTAAAGGAGCAATAAGAGACCATTTCATCTATCAAAGTGGCGAGGATTCTAATGTGGAGGGTTGGCGAGAGTAAGGACACAGGCAGACACTACTAACTGGAGTAGAAAGGCCTCACTGCTTTCTGGAGAATGGCTTGGCAACACATAGAGACCAAGAGCTTTAAAACAAGTCTATGTCTTCACCCTTTCACTCAGGGGTTTCACTTCTAGAATTTAGCCTAAGGCAATAATTAGCCATGCAAATATGTAAGTTCAAGGATATTTACCGAAGGTCTGGGCGCGGTGGCTCACACCTATAATCCTAGCACTTTGGGAGGCCGAAAGAGGTGGTCAGATTACCTGAGGTCAGGAGTTCGAGACCAGCCTGGATAACATGATGAAACCCCGTCTCTACTAAAAATACAAAAATCAGCCAGGCATGTGCCTGTAATCCCAGCTACTCAGGAGGCTGAGGCAGGAGTAGCTTGAACCCAGGAAGCAGAGGTTGCCGTGAACCGAGATCACACAACTGCACTCCATCCTGGACAACAGAGTGAGACTCCATCTCAAAAAAAAAAAAAAAGAAGAAGAAAAAGAAAAAAAAGAATATTTACCACAGCTCAGTTTATTATATGTTTAAAAATTGAAGGCCAGGTGTGGTGGTACACACCTGTAATCCCAGAGCTTTGGGAGGCCGAGGAAGGAGGTTGCCGTGAGCCCAGGAATTCAAGGTTATAGTGAGCTATGTGCGTGCCACTGCACTCCAGCCTGAGTGACAGAGCAAGACCCTGTCTCTAAAAAAACAGAAAGCAAATTGAGACCCACCTAAACATGCTATAATAGGAAATTGGTTTAAATGAACTAGTAGAATACTGGGTGACCATTATAAATGATGCTGGCTCACGGGCTTCCTAATGTGATACACTGGTACTCGTGCCCAAAAATGCATAAACACCAGACATACTCAAATTTAGGAACAGTCTACAAAACAACTGTCCTGTATGCTTAAAAATGCCAGTATCGGCCAGGTGCGGTGGCTCACGCCTGTAATCCCAGCACTTTGGGAGGCCAAGATGGGTGGATTGCCTAAGCTCAGGAGTTTGAGACCAGCCTGGGCACCATGGTGAAACCCTGTCTCTACTAAAATACAAAAAGTCAGCCAGGCGTGGTGGTGGGCGCCTGTAATCCCAGCTACTCAGGAGGCTGAGGCACGAGAATTGCTTGAACCCAGGCGGTGGAGGTTGCAGTGAGCCAAGGTCGTGCCACTGCAATCCAGCCTGGACTGTCTCAAAAAAAAAAAAAAAAAAGTCAATATAATGAAAGGCAAAGTACATTTAAGGTACTGTACTCATATTAAAGGAAACTAAAAAGACTCGACAGCTAAATGCAATGCAGGATGCCAAATGAGATCCTAGACCAAAGGAAAAAATTGTCATGAAGGACATTATGGGGCAATTGGCAGGACCTGAATTTGGACTGTCAATTAGATCATAGTATTACATCGGTCTAAGTTTCCTGATTTGGATAATTGTACTATATTATGTAAAAGAATGTTTTGTTCTTAGAAAATTTGCACTGATGGATTTAAGGGTAAAGGGTATCTTGTATGCAACTTACTCTCAAATGGTTCAGAAAAAAATACAAATGTGTATTTATAGAGAAATAATGATAAAGTAAATGTGGTCAAATGATATTAGTGGATGAATCTGAGTGAAGGGTATCCTGGAATTCTTTTTAGTATTTTTGCCCCTTTCCCATGAGATTAAAAGTATTTTAAAATAAAAAGCTAAAAAAAGGAAGAAAGTGGTGCTGGTGAAGTATATTCCCCGGTAGGGGAAGGCTCTCAGGTGCACCAGCAGCAGCCATGAGTGCCTCAACACCAGGGAGAGCACAGCTGCCACTGACACCTTCTGCCACCCTGGACTCTCAGTTCCCTGTGCTACTAAAGGAACTCAGTGTGTGGTTGACCCCAAAGTTGTCCTGGGTTGACTCAAGAAGGTAGGATGAGCATTCTGAGGCAAAGAATTCTCTTTTGTGATTTTATTGACTCCAATTTTGCATTCTGACTGGCATTCCCTGCATCCCAAGGACCTTGACAGCGGAGGGAGGCAGAGATGGAGGAAGTGAAAACTACCCAAATTCAGTGTTTGTTACAGACAATTCAGACTGCAAAATTTAGGGTAGACTATGTTCATTTATCACTGATAATGACAGTCTTAACATTCCCCTACAACAGGAAGACCAAGATTTCCCCAAAACCGGCCAGCATCTTGCCCATTTGCCAGAAGGAGAAAAATAAGTCCTGGCAAGAGCCAAGATAAGGCCCAGAAGCCCCTGGGTTCCTTTAGCCAAGGTGAGTGGTTTCAAATTATGACAAGTTGCAGGTTCTCTGAGAAGCATCTGTAATAACCTGGCAAATTAAGCATCCTCTCCTGGGAGGAGGAATACAGAACTCTGTAACCACCCAATACCTGTTTCCAGGTCCTGCCCCTCCTGGGGCACAGGGCAGCCACCTTGCAATTCTCATCCCTAGAAAGGAGAGACCAGATCAACAAACAGCAGGGCTGGGACTGCCCAGGGGGTTCCGAGATTCCTTCTCCCCTCCTATCACCTGCCCTCCAGGCACACCGTCCTACTTCCCCCTACTTCCCCAGGGGTTGTCAGGGACAGAAGGCCCCTCCTTCATCCCCCCTAGTGTTCCTCCACTCTTCCTCCGCCCCCCATTACTAGGGTGTCCAGGACATTGTGTGACTCAGGAAACAGCTCAGACGTGAGGCTTGCAGCAGGCCGAGGAGGAAGAAGAGGGGCAGTGGGAGCAGAGGAGGTGGCTCCTGCCCCAGTGAGAGCTCTGAGGGTCCCTGCCTGAAGAGGGACAGGGACCGGGGCTTGGAGAAGGGGCTGTGGAATGCAGCCCCCTTCACTGCTGCTGCTGCTGCTGCTGCTGCTGCTGCTATGTGTCTCAGTGGTCAGACCCAGAGGTGAGGCATGGCGTGGGTGAGGTGAGGGGACCCAGCTCCCTTAGGAGGATGATCAGTGGGGTGGGGGAAGAGGGCCAAGCCCCAGGCCGTGTGAGGGATGCTGGATGGAGGAGATTCTCACTGCCCAAATAGAGACGGCCTCCAGGGAAAGACGGCTCTGCCCATGGAGCTGCTTCGGGCCTGGTGCCAGGGGTGGTGACTGCTGGGGGATGGGTGAGAGGGTGCCCACCTCCAGGAAGAACCTCGTCAGCACTGGCACTGGAGGACTCTTGCAGCCATAGGGAAGAGGGGAAGAGGGAACACACTGACCACCTGCTTGGGGAGGAGATGAGAGGGAAGCAGGAGATGGGGACATGAAAGGTCAGGCCTACTAAGCCCTTTCTTAGTCCAGCTGTCCCCACCCCCCGGATGGCTCAATGCTCGGCCTTTCCGGGAGGAAATCTCTTCGAAGTCTCAGCCATTCACCTCCCGGGAGCCACCTCCGCCCCTCTTCTGACCCCTGTTGTCTTGCTTCCGAGAGATGGAGTCCGAGGCTGGACTTGGGAGGCCAGAGAATAAACAGGAAAGGGGGGTAGGGATTAGTAACTGGGACGGAGGGCACTGGGGCTGGGGCTGGGTACCATGTGGAGAGTGGGGACAGATGTGAAGAAGAGGTGGTTTAGAGTACCTGTGGGAGCTGCTGTGGGCAGGTCTCTCAGGAGCACCTAGAAGAGGAAAGGTGGAGGCACAGCACCCAGGGCTTCCATTGCGCCTGCCTCTCCACCCTCAGGGCTGCTGTGTGGGAGTTTCCCAGAACCCTGTGCCAATGGAGGCACCTGCCTGAGCCTGTCTCTGGGACAAGGGACCTGCCAGTGAGTGTGCCTTGCAGGAGTGGGAGACTGGAGAGAAAGGGGGAGGGAGAGCAGGGGGGGAGAGGTGAGGAAGTGAGACCAAAGAAGAAAGAGAGGAAGTGAAGGAGATGAAGGGAAACAAATGAAGGCAGAGGAGGGAGTGGGCAAGAATAGGAAGAGGGACCAGTGATGTGAGTTTTCCTCTCCTCCCCTGCCCAGGTGTGCCCCTGGCTTCCTGGGTGAGACGTGCCAGTTTCCTGACCCCTGCCAGAACGCCCAGCTCTGCCAAAATGGAGGCAGCTGCCAAGCCCTGCTTCCCGCTCCCCTAGGGCTCCCCAGCTCTCCCTCTCCATTGACACCCAGCTTCTTGTGCACTTGCCTCCCTGGCTTCACTGGCGAGAGATGCCAGGCCCAGCTTGAAGACCCTTGTCCTCCCTCCTTCTGTTCCAAAAGGGGCCGCTGCCACATCCAGGCCTCGGGCCGCCCACAGTGCTCCTGCATGCCTGGATGGACAGGTAAGCGCTGCTGGGGGCAGCCAGGAGGGGACAGGCAGGAGCAATGGGCTAGGCTGTGGGTGGGGAAGATGGAACTGGAGCCTGAGAAACTGCAAGCCCTTTGAAGACAGAAGCCATGAGAATCAACATGCCAATTCTTGGCAATCCACTTACCCACAACCAACATTCACCAGCATGGTTGTACTGATTGCTAAAATGTTAAAATATTTCCAAATTAAGGGTGCCATGAGCCCCCTTTGTGCACCATCCTGATGCCTGTCCTAGCCCCTTTAATCTCCCCATTGCCTAGCAGCTAGAGGGTCATTGCTCTGCATACCAGGGGTCCTCCAGACTTTTGCATTCTGAGCATCTGAATGGCTCCCATTCTGAGTGGAGGGAGCCATTATATCACCTGGGAAGACTGCAGTGGTGGGAGGGGCACCGGGAAGGGAAGGATGTGACCCCGAGAGTGGATTGGGGGCCGCCCCAGGAGGAGGGGTGTAACCCTGGGGCAAGCTTAGTGCTTCATTCTAGGGGCTCTGCACCAGCCCCTGGATCCAAATGCTAGCTCTGCCACTGATCAGCTACATGACCTCATATAAGATATTTTAGCTTTCTGGTGTTCAGTTGTCAGCTGACAAACAGGGAGAGTAATGGTCACACTTCATAAGGTTGCTGAGAGGACAGAAGGGGCCGATGCTCAGGAGATGCTTGCTCAGCTCAGCACCTGGCACCTCCACTGCTGCCGCCATTACCACTGGTGCACATGGACTGTGAAGTGAGTCTCCAGGTGCCTAAACCCACTTAAAGATTAGGAAATGAGGATCAGAAAGGCAAAGTGGCTCACCCAAGGGTATACAACCAGTTGTGGCACAGCATGGTGCCACCTGAGTCTCCTGCCTGCAGACGTGGGGTGCTTTTCACCTCCCCCAAGATCACCCACGTCCCAGATTTTCTCAGGCAAGGCCAATTTGCAATACTCTCATCATCACTTTAGAAGATATGGTCACTCCAGATAAACCCTCCCAAGCCATGACATCGCTCAGAGCAGGGGTGATGGAACAGAGCAAAGAAAGTATGGTAATAAAGGGAAGGAAATATGAAAATGAGACCCAGAGATAATCCAGAGTGAGCACTGGGTAACCTCAGATGGGCTAGAATTCGTACAATGCTAGAAACGGCTCCCTCTGTCCTCTGCCTCAGGTGAGCAGTGCCAGCTTCGGGACTTCTGTTCAGCCAACCCATGTGTTAATGGAGGGGTGTGTCTGGCCACATACCCCCAGATCCAGTGCCACTGCCCACCGGGCTTCGAGGGCCATGCCTGTGAACGTGATGTCAACGAGTGCTTCCAGGACCCAGGACCCTGCCCCAAAGGCACCTCCTGCCATAACACCCTGGGCTCCTTCCAGTGCCTCTGCCCTGTGGGGCAGGAGGGTCCACGTTGTGAGCTGCGGGCAGGACCCTGCCCTCCTAGGGGCTGTTCGAATGGGGGCACCTGCCAGCTGATGCCAGAGAAAGACTCCACCTTTCACCTCTGCCTCTGTCCCCCAGGTGTGTCCTCACAGGGGCTCTCCGGCCGCCCCTCTCTCTGGGCAGGGCAGGATGTCTCCGTTGGAGCCTCCTCCCACAGCTGATCCATGACCCTGTCAGGTTTCATAGGCCCAGACTGTGAGGTGAATCCAGACAACTGTGTCAGCCACCAGTGTCAGAATGGGGGCACTTGCCAGGATGGGCTGGACACCTACACCTGCCTCTGCCCAGAAACCTGGACAGGTGAGTTGTTTAAGCCACATCCATGACACCCATGGCCCAGAGAGTTGGCCCCTGGCCTCCCCTACTCATAGGGCTCCCAGCCTTAGCCCTCGTCCCCTCCCCAACCCCCTGCAGGCTGGGACTGCTCCGAAGATGTGGATGAGTGTGAGACCCAGGGTCCCCCTCACTGCAGAAACGGGGGCACCTGCCAGAACTCTGCTGGTAGCTTTCACTGCGTGTGTGTGAGTGGCTGGGGCGGCACAAGCTGTGAGGAGAACCTGGATGACTGTATTGCTGCCACCTGTGCCCCGGGATCCACCTGCATTGACCGGGTGGGCTCTTTCTCCTGCCTCTGCCCACCTGGACGCACAGGTATGGGGGTAGAGGGTATCAGGAGGTGGGAGGTAGAGAAGGAGGGTGAGAGAAGCACCAGGAGGACTGCTAGGAGCTTCAAGTGGCCTTTGAGAGCCTCACCCCCTCTTACCCCTCCAGGACTCCTGTGCCACTTGGAAGACATGTGTCTGAGCCAGCCGTGCCATGGGGATGCCCAATGCAGCACCAACCCCCTCACAGGCTCCACACTCTGCCTGTGTCAGCCTGGCTATTCGGGGCCCACCTGCCACCAGGACCTGGACGAGTGTCTGATGGGTGAGGCCACTCCCACTTCAGAGCCTCTCTGAGCCTCAGACAGGCCTCTGCACTGAAGACAGAAAAGGGCAGATTGCTTTTCCAATTAAAAAACCAAACATCTTTTTCCTTGAATTTGCCCAGATTTGGCATCTCTTGCCTACATGACCCTCTCTCCAATGTTCAGCCCCTCAGTCCCCATGAAATTGGTCCCTTATTTCCTTTCCATCTTAAAGACACAAGCCCCTTCCCCAATTTGGTCTCGTCTGCCACACGCAGGCCCCCACACCTTCCCTGACAGTCTCACCTCCTTGCCCTTCCCGCCCTGACCCCTGTGGACTCCCAGCTCTTCTCTCCTCCCAGCCCAGCAAGGCCCAAGTCCCTGTGAACATGGCGGTTCCTGCCTCAACACTCCTGGCTCCTTCAACTGCCTCTGTCCACCTGGCTACACAGGCTCCCGTTGTGAGGCTGATCACAATGAGTGCCTCTCCCAGCCCTGCCACCCAGGAAGCACCTGTCTGGACCTACTTGCCACCTTCCACTGCCTCTGCCCGCCAGGTATCAGCTGGATGGGGCCTTGGGTGGGGAAAACAGGGAACTAGTCCTGAACCCACTAGGAATGCCCCCTCCAGAGTAAGGACAGCTTCAGGCCAATTGGCGTAAGTTACCACAGATGCTTCTCTCTCTACCCCCAGACGAAAACTCAGGGACACCCAAGACCCCTAGGAGAGGGGTTACCACAGATGGTAGTGAGGTTATGCATTCCTCAACTTGGGGGGAAGCTGCCATTCATTTCATAGTCATCATAGAGGCTGCACAACCTGGTCCACTGTACACAGCAGCCCAGCAAGAGAGGGTAGAAGAGCAGTTCATAAACTTTCTGTGCTGCAGCCTTTGCTCAGGTCAACCCAGAATGCTCCCTCTGATTATAGAAACTCTCCCATGTAGAGATTCAAGGTAATCCCTTAAAATCCCAAAAGCCCTGTGATACAACAGGAAAATTTGGTACAACAAGAAAAAAATTGCTGCAAGACAGCACCCACCTCCAGGCTAGCTTTAAGGGGGAAAAGTCGCCCCAGGGAGACAGCAACAGAGCCAACATCAAGGAGTTGAATGAAATCAGAAAAATAATCGCCAACTTTATGCCAGGTACTGTCTGAGCATCTTACAGGCATTGTCTCATCTACTTATTACAATAACCCTATGAGGTCAGCACTGCCCATTTTATAACTGAAGAAACTGAGGCACAGAGAGTTTAAGTGACTTGTCCAAGGTCACCCAGCTAGCAAGTGGCAGAGCTGAGATTCAAACCAAGGGCTTCAACAATTATAACCACTACCCCATATTGACTTTCTAAACTGAGCGGCACCCAAAGATACTGGCTCAGGTCACCCAACAGACAATCATAGAGAAATAAGAGAAAACGGTTCGGTAACCCAAGGGACAACATTGTAGATATCAAGGAGCTTCAGAAGCAGACTCCTCAGGCAAGAAAAGAAAGGAAGCCAAGGTCCAGAGGTTGATCCCACCTCAATTCAGGATGAAACAGTGGAGACCAGGATGAACCCAAAGCAACGGGACAAATATAGGAGCAACAAGCTTCCCAGATGCACTTCAAATTCCTCCACTTTGGGATCTCTGTTCTCCCTAGCATGGAGGCCCGCCCAGGGAGAACAAGAAGTGGGACTCATTCTCCAAGCCAATTTGTTCCTATTTGTACCTTGAGGTCCTCCGGGCTGATCAGCCTGCCCTGGTGAGCCCCGCCCTCTGTATACACAGGAATGGCCACCAGAAAGCCTTGTAGTCCTCCCGCAGGTCCCCAGCAAGCACCCTGTTCCCTGGCCTTTCACACCTCAAGGAGCAGGGCCACACACTGCGAAGCAGCAGGGCCTCAGGGTTCATCTTATTCAACCCCATGCAGACAGCACCTCGGGGGAGGACCGCCTGAGTGGGGCAAGTCAGGAGCAGGGCCGATTCTAGAACACAGGTCTCCCAGGCAGACCTGGCTGAGCCACAGCCCTCATGGTCCCCATGTCCCCAGGCTTAGAAGGGCAGCTCTGTGAGGTGGAGACCAACGAGTGTGCCTCAGCTCCCTGCCTGAACCACGCGGATTGCCATGACCTGCTCAACGGCTTCCAGTGCATCTGCCTGCCTGGTGAGTACAGATGCCTCTCTGGCCACCCTCAGACCCCAGGCCTCTGAACCTGCAGAGTTCAGGCTCAGCAATCACCCAAGGCCACTTGAAGCTCTCTCTAGCCAAGCCAAGGAGTCCTCCAAATCTGTCTTTGCTCCCCAAAATCTCTACTCTTACATCCCCAAATTTTCCCTTGCTTACTTGCCCATTCTCATCTCTGTCCTACCAAATCACCCAAAGATCCCTCCTTTCCAGTCCTCCTGCACAGCCTCTGTGTATGCATGTTGAGGTCCCAGGCTGGTCTTGGCACTCTCATCATAAACCCAGCAAAAGCTGCCCCAAGCCTTTCTTCTCCAGCCTCACCGGACACTCCTCTGTCCCCTGCTATTATAATAACTACACTTATTCACCACTTACTCCAGGCTAGCCATTTGGCTGAGTACTTTTCAGGCGTTATGTCATTTAATCTTTTTAACAGTACCATGAGGTAGGTTCCATTATTATTCCCCTTTTACACAGAACAGGAAACTGGGGCCTAGAGGGTTGACCAGCTTGCCCAAAGTCACACAGCTGGCAGGTGGCTGAGCTTCACCTTTTCTGCATCATCTCCTGTCACCCCACGCTCACCTGCCCCAGGTGTCTTCTCTGGGAAGCTCTGCAAGTTCACCTTTCCTGGCAAGGGAAGGCGCCATGCTGTGCCTCCCTCGATGACCTTGGCCTCCTCTCCCCACCCACTTCCGCCCCACCAGGATTCTCCGGCACCCGATGTGAGGAGGATATCGATGAGTGCAGAAGCTCTCCCTGTGCCAATGGTGGGCAGTGCCAGGACCAGCCTGGAGCCTTCCACTGCAAGTGTCTCCCAGGTAAACTGGGGCACACACTGTGGGGGACAGCGGGAGCAGGAGGCAGACATCCGTGCAGGTCCCTGACCTTCCTGCTGTGCCACAGGCTTTGAAGGGCCACGCTGTCAAACAGAGGTGGATGAGTGCCTGAGTGACCCATGTCCCGTTGGAGCCAGCTGCCTTGATCTTCCAGGAGCCTTCTTTTGCCTCTGCCCCTCTGGTTTCACAGGTTCACAGGGGAGGCATTGGAAAGAACTGGCAGAATATTTTATTCCATTTGGGTTGGGGCAGAGTTCATTGGTGGGTGTTTGATGGTTGGGATGTGAGAATAGAATGAGAATGGTATCCTTTAAAGTTATTTAGTGTAAAACCTGCATAATTGTACAACCATGGGGACAAGGGCAGGGGTTACCGTAGGGCCCACATGGGCCCAGTGTAAATGGTGTGATTGCGGCTTGGGAGCAGAGGACGGGGCTCAAAGAAAAGGCATTCACTTGCTTATTTAGCAAGCACTTACCAACTGCCTACTATGCCAGATACGGAGGCAAATCTGAGTAAGACAGTTGCCATCTTCATGTGACTTTAAGTCTAATACAGAGAGACCAGCAAGTCTCCTGTTGATCATAGCCCACAGAGGTGCTCTGAGAGAAAAACGTGCAGGATATTACAAGAGCACAGAGGACCAGCCAACCCAGACTAAAAATGGAGGAGGTGATGGCTGAGATGAGTCTTGAAAGATAAGCAGAGGCTGGGCGTGGTGGCTCACGCCTATAGTCCCAGCACTTCGGGAAGCCGAGGCGGGTGGATCACCCGAGATTAGGAGTTCGAGATCAGCCTGGCCAACATGGTGAAACCTCGTCTCTATTAAAAATACAAAAATTACACTTTGGGAGGCCGAGGAGGGTGGATCATGAGGTCAGGAGATCAACACTATCCTGGCTAACACGGTGAAACCCCATCTCAACTAAAAATACAAAAAAATAACTGGGCGTGGTGGCGGGCGCCTATAGTCCCAGCTACTCCAGAGGCTGAGGCAGGAGAATGGCGTGAACCCGGGAGGCGGAGCTTGCAGTGAGCTGAGATCACGCCACTGCACTCCAGCCTGGGTGGCAGAGTAAGACTCCACCTCAAAAAATACAAAAATACAAAAATTAGCCAGGCGTGGTGGCGGGCGCCTGCAATCCCAGCTATTGGGGAGGCTGAGGCAAGAGAATCGCTTGAACCTGGGAAGCAGTGGTTGCAGTGAGCCGAGATCACTCCACTGCACTCCAGCCTGGGTGACAGAGCAAGATTCCATCTCAAAAAAAAAAGAAGGAAGGAAGGAAGGAAAGAAGGAAGGAAGGAAGGAGAGAAGGGAAGGAAAGGAGGAAATGAGGAAAGAGAGAAAGATAGAAAGATGGATGGTCAGGAGTCTGTCTAAATAGAGTGCCAGATAGTGTGTTTTAGCTGGAGATAACTGCATGTGCAAAGACACAGATGGAAGAAAAGCCCACCCCATTTAAGGAACTGTAAGAAAGTCAGAGTTAAGGGTACAGCAAGGCAAAGATGAGAAACACAGCTGTTGTACAAATGTCATGTCCTGCAGGACTCTGCATATCATTCTGAGAAAGTTAAACAATATCTTAAAGGCAATAGGGACCCATTGAAGGACAGGTTCATGGGTTCATAGGGAGTGAGTAAGGCAAGCATAAGAAGTGGCTTTGGCCCAATGAAGGATGTGGCTTTGGCCCAATGAAGGATGTGGAGGAGCTGTTTTCTTTTTGACCCATCTTCCCACCCCAGGCCAGCTCTGTGAGGTTCCCCTGTGTGCTCCCAACCTGTGCCAGCCCAAGCAGATATGTAAGGACCAGAAAGACAAGGCCAACTGCCTCTGTCCTGATGGAAGCCCTGGCTGTGCCCCACCTGAGGACAACTGCACCTGCCACCACGGGCACTGCCAGAGGTAACATCTTCCAGACCCTCCCCATCTGCCCCCTCCTTTGGGCTCCCTTCGCTAGGACAGGAGAAGACAGCCAGTGAGATGTAGGTCTGTGAGAAATGACCAATGGGGAAAAGGAAGGAGATGGCAAAGTTCTTAGGGCAAGGCAGTGGGAGGGCTCAACTGGTAAGTGTTATCCAAGGAGAAGAGAGTCCACAAAAACTGGTGGAAACAGAGGACCAGGGGGTCAGAGCAGAAAGAAGAGCATTAAATCCCAGGGCGAATTAATCATTCATTAGAAAAATATCTGCTGAGGCCAGGCGCAGTGCTGATTACGGTCTCATGCCGGTAATCCCAGCACTTTGGGAGGCCGAGGTGGGCGGATCACCTGAGATCAGCAGTTCAACATCAGCCTGGCCAACATGGTGAAACCCTGTAGCTACTAAAAATGCAAAAATTAGCTGGGCATGGTGGCGCACCTGTAATCCCAGCTACTTGGGAGGCTGAAGCGGAAGGATCACTTGAACCCAAGAGGCGGAGGTTGCAGTCAGCCAAGATCATGCCACTGCACTCCAGCCTGGGTGACAGAGCAAGACTCCGTCTCAAAAAAAAAAAAATCTGCTGAGCACCTACTTTGTGTGGCTACTGTTCCAGGCCCTGGGGGAAACACAAAGCAAAAGAGATAAAGCAACTGCTCTCGTAGAGCTTTCATTCTAAAGAAAGACAGAAAATAAGTAAGTTACAGAAAGAATATATATGTGTGTGTATATATATATATATATATATATATATATATATATATATATATATCTCCAACTAGATATATAGATGCATATATCTAGTTGGAGAAAATGAGCAGGTGTTGGGGAGGATGGGGGCGGTGCTGAGAGCAAAGTCACTGAAGAAAGAGGCCAGAATCTCAGGGCCAAAAGAAGAGGAAGTCATAGGGGTCCAGGCAGCAGGGAGGGGAACATAAGCAGTAGGAGAAGAGAAAAACCCTCCCCTTTCTCTTTACAACCAGATCCTCATGTGTGTGTGACGTGGGTTGGACGGGGCCAGAGTGTGAGGCAGAGCTAGGGGGCTGCATCTCTGCACCCTGTGCCCATGGGGGGACCTGCTACCCCCAGCCCTCTGGCTACAACTGCACCTGCCCTACAGGCTACACAGGTGAGACCCTCCCTAAACCATATACACCCTGTGCTGGTCACCCCCTATGTCAAGGGTAAGGCAGGCGACCACGGGCCCTGAGTCTCAGTCACCACTAAGGAGAACTGGACTGCAGGGGACACGGGTGATGTGTGGGAGGTGGTGAGAACGGAGGTTGATGGGAAAGAATAATAGGGTTGGGGATGAGGAAGGGAAGGAAGAGGAAAGAGAAGGAGAGCGGAGGGAGGGAAGGAGGACACCCTTTCTCAGCCCCCACCTGTTTCCTTCAGGACCCACCTGTAGTGAGGAGATGACAGCTTGTCACTCAGGGCCATGTCTCAATGGCGGCTCCTGCAACCCTAGCCCTGGAGGCTACTACTGCACCTGCCCTCCAAGCCACACAGGGCCCCAGTGCCAAACCAGCACTGACTACTGTGTGTCTGGTGAGTGCCCACTGTGTCATGGGGCTGGGGTCCACAGGAGAATGGAAGAACTAAGGAGGGTATGCTTGTGTCATATTTTTTAAAATTTAATTGAACAGACCAGCCTGGGAAACATAATGAAACTCCATCTCTAAATTAGCTGGGCACACAGTGGCTAAGGCCTGTAGTCTCAAATACTTGGGAGGCTAAGGTGGGAGGATGACTTGAGCCCAGAAGGTTAAGACTGCAGTGAGCTCTGATGGCACCACTGCCTGGGTAACAGAGCAAGACCCTATCTAAAAATAATAAAATATCATATAAATAAAAATTAATTGGATGGCAGTGAGCTGTCGTTTTGATGGGGGTGGGGGGTGTATGTCCTATGTACAGTGTGACTGAGGTCACAGGCCAGGTTACAGGCAAGGAACCCAAACCCTCACAGCCTCCTCTCTCCAGCCCCGTGCTTCAATGGGGGTACCTGTGTGAACAGGCCTGGCACCTTCTCCTGCCTCTGTGCCATGGGCTTCCAGGGCCCGCGCTGTGAGGGAAAGCTCCGCCCCAGCTGTGCAGACAGGTGAGCAGGGCCCAAAGACCCCTAGAAGGGAGAAAACCCCTCAGCCTTCCCACCCCTCCTCTCATCTCCCCCTGGGTTCCAGGCTGCCTCCCACCCCACACCTCGTTCCGCCTTCCCTCCTGGCTTGCCACCTCCCTGTGGTTGCCTCCCGACAATATCACACACTACCTTCCCCTTGTTGCCCGAACTTCTTCCTATCATGCCCTGTCTCTGTCTTGTTCAGCCCCTGTAGGAATAGGGCAACCTGCCAGGACAGCCCTCAGGGTCCCCGCTGCCTCTGCCCCACTGGCTACACCGGAGGCAGCTGCCAGGTGAGGGCCATTGAAGTCAGGCGTGCTGAGGAGGGAAGTGGCTGGGAGGGAAACCAGGGAGGGTCACCTGGTCCCAGGCCATTCAGGAGAAGGTTTTTGAAGTAAGGGATTTCGAGGAGCTGGAGTGGGCAGAGGACCATCTCTGGGCTGAGAATCTGATGCTATGTCCAGCCTCACGCTCCCTCCCACCCCTCAGACTCTGATGGACTTATGTGCCCAGAAGCCCTGCCCACGCAATTCCCACTGCCTCCAGACTGGGCCCTCCTTCCACTGCTTGTGCCTCCAGGGATGGACCGGGCCTCTCTGCAACCTTCCACTGTCCTCCTGCCAGAAGGCTGCACTGAGCCAAGGTAACCAACACCGGCACTGACTGGAGAGCAAATGAAGAAAATATGGGTGTTCTCACCTGCCCCGTTCCTGTGGGCTTCCACACAGCTTTTGGCCAAAACAACCACCTGAGAATCAAAACCACACAGACAAATCAGTTCTTGATTGCAGAGGTGTTGAATTGTGCAATCAGAGAAGCCTAACACAATTCCTGTTACCTCATTTAACGCAATTCAAGCAACACCAACCAGCCCATTCCACAGGATTCCAGTTTAACCCAACCATGAGGGACATGACTCAACGTGGAGCAACTCAACTCTGTCCTGATCATCATAACCCAGGCAGAGTGGACCACACTTAATCCAGCTACACTCAACGCATTTCACCCCACCCCACTCACTTCGATGTCACGCCACCCTCTTTGTAAAAGAACACTAAAATAAGGTTTGATATGAGAAGAGCTCGGGAAAGAGATTATGATGGAGTTAAGGGATAGCTGATGGGAATCACAGGGAGAGAACATTAAAGGAATGCAGAACTCAGGGGACAGACTTAAGCCACTTGTCCTCACTTGAGGCATACCTTGAATTATTTCTTGCTCAAGCCTTGCTTTAAGCCAAGAAAACAGTTGCTTTAACATTATGATAAGCTTTAGGGGTATGTCTCCAATATTCTGGCAGAAAGGGTGAGGAGAGAGGTAAAACTCGATGGTCTAATTTCTTCAGTGCCAGGAGTTATTAACTCCTTGGGCCCAGACCAGTCTCCACCCAGGAATGTTACTGGTCCCCAAGGTAAAGGCCTCTACACCCAGAGATTGGGCCCTGAATACACCCTTCCTCCTACTCACATACCTTATTTATTTATTTATTTATTTATTTATTTATTTATTTATTTATTTTTGAGATGGAGTCCCAGTCTGTCACCCAGGGTGGAGTGCAGTGGCACGATCTCGGCTCACTGCAACCTTCACCTCCTAGGTTCAAGTGATTCTCCTGCCTCAGCTTCCCAAGTAGCTGGGATTCGTGTGCCACCATGCCCAGCTAATTTTTTTTTTTTTTGTATTTTTAGTAGAGATGGGGTTTCATTATGTTGGCCAGACTGGTCTCGAACTCCTAACCTCAGTGATCCACCCGTCTCAGCCTCCCAAAGTGCTGGAATTACAGGTGTGAGCCACCACGCCCGGCCACATCCCCATTTACCGTTTCTGTTTGTTTGTTTGTTTGTTTGTTTGTTTGAGATGGAGTCTTGCCCTATAGCCCAGGCTGGAGTGCAATGGCACGATTTTGGCTCACTACAACCTGCGCTGCCCAGGTTCAAGTGATTCTCCTGCCTCAGCCTCCCAAGTAGCTGGGATTACAGGTGCCTGCCACAACGCCCGACCAATTTTTTGTATTTTTAGTAGAGACGGGGTTTCCCCATGTTTGCCAGGCTGGTCTCACACTCCTAACCTGGTGATCCACCTGCCTCGGCCTCCCAAAGTGCTGGGATTACAGGCGTAAGCCATGGCGCCCGGCCCCCCACTTATCTTTGTATATCCCTGTTTGTCTCTCTCCCCAGGCATAGACGTCTCTTCCCTTTGCCACAATGGAGGCCTCTGTGTCGACAGCGGCCCCTCCTATTTCTGCCACTGCCCCCCTGGATTCCAAGGCAGCCTGTGCCAGGATCACGTGAACCCATGTGAGTCCAGGCCTTGCCAGAACGGGGCCACCTGCATGGCCCAGCCCAGTGGGTATCTCTGCCAGGTGAGAGGGTCTGCAGGAGAAGGGGGAGGAAAGACAAGGGTGGGCTGGATGGGAGAGACAGTAGTGACTGAGGGAAGACCCAATGTATCCATTTCACCTCCTTTTATTTTTTTTAACCCCACACACCCAACTAACCACAAAGTCATGCCACTTTATCTCCTGAAGTTTTCTCAAGTCTGTGCTTTCACCTTCACCCTTTGTCCCACTGCCTGAGTCCTGACCTTTGTTGCGTTCCAGATAGATACTTGCATCAGCCTCCTAACTACAGTCTCTGCCTCCACACTTGTCCTTCTATAGGTTCAGCCTTTACCCCGTGGCCAGGGTACTCTACTGAAAATGTCCAGTTGACCTGTCTCTCCCCTGCTGAACCTTCGGAGGCTGCCCGCCTCATTCTGAATAAAGTCCAAGGCCTGCATGACCCAGCCCTGCCTGCCTCTCAGGCCTCAGCTCTCCCCATCCCACCCTTCTACTCTCTGCTCCAGCAACATGAAACTGCTGCTGACTTTGCCACGTACCCCATACTGATTCTTGCCTCTCAGCCTTTATCCCTGCTATTGACACTACCTGGAATGGCCTTCCCAACCCCTCTTCCACAGGCTGGTGTTCAGGAGGCATCTTCTTCAGGAAGATGTCCCTAACTTCTCCCCAGGCTGGATTAGGGCCTCTTCTTTGTGGTCCAGGTCACTAAGCCAGGAGAGGCAAAGCTGGCATTCAAGTCTAAGCAGCCTGATTCATATGCTCAGAACCACAACTTTTTTGTGTGTGTGGTTGCCATTTTATTTTCTTTTGTTATTGACAAACGGTAGTCATACGTATCTATGGGGTACATGTGAGTTTTTTGGTTTCTTTTTTTTTTTCTCTCTCGTTTTTGGAGACAGAGTCGCTCTATCCCCCAGGCTGAAGGGCAGTGGCATAATCTTGGCTCACTGAAACCCCCGCCTCCCAGGTTCAAGCAGTTCTCATGTCTCAGCCTCCCGAGTAGCTGGGATTACAGGAACGCGCCACCACGCCTGGCTAATTTTTGTATTTTTAGTAGAGATGGGGTTTCACCATGTTGGGCAGGCTGGTCTCAGAACTCCTGACCTAAAGTGATCCACCCGCTCAGCCTGCCAAAGTGATAAGATTACAGGTATGAGCCACCGCACCTGGACACATGTGATATTTTGATACATGCATACAATGTATCATGATCAAATCAGGGTAATTGGGATATCTATCATCTCAAACATCATTTCTTTGTGTTGAGAACATTTCAAATCTTCTCTTCTAGTTATTTTGAAATACAAATTGTTAACTATCACCATCCTTCTCTGCTATCTAACACTAGAACTTATTCCTTCTATATGACCATAATTTTGTATCCATTAACCAACCTCTCTTCATCTCCCCCTCCCTGCCACCCTTTCTAACCTCTGGTAACCATCATTCTACCCTACTTCCATGAGACTAACTTTTTTAGCTCCCACATATGAGTGAGGAGCAATATTACACATGCAATAGGAGGCTGATGCAAGTATCTACCTGGAATGCAAGAAAGGTCAGGACTAACTAAGGCAGTGGCACAAAGGTGAAGGTGAGAGACATGCAATATTTGTCTTTCCGTGCCTGGCTTATTTCACTTAACATAATGTCCTTCAGTTTCATCCATGTTGCTGAAAATGATAGGATTTCATTCTTTTTCTGGCTGAATAATATTCCATTGTGTCTATATGACACAGTTTCTTTTTTCCATTCATTTGTTGATGGCACTTCAGTTAATTCCATATGTTAGCTATTGTGAACAGTGCTGCAATAAATATGGGGATGCAGATATCTCTTCAAGATACTGATTTCCTTTGGATATGTAATGAACAGTAGATTGATCACATGGTAGATCTATTTTTAATTTTTGAGAAACTTCCATACTTTTCTCCATACTGGCTGTGTTAGTTTACATTCCCACCAACAGTGTATGAGGGTTCCCCTTTCTCTGCATCCTTGCCAGCATCTGCTATTTTTTGCATTTTTTTTCCTTTTCTGAGACAGAGTCTTGCTGTGTTGCCCAGGCTGGATCACAGTGACTTGATCTCAGCTCACTGCAACCTCTGCCTCCCAGATTCAAGCGATTCTTGTACTTCAGCCTCCCAAGTAACTGGGATCACAGGCGTGGACCACCATGCTTGGCTAATTTTTTGTATTTTTAGTAGAGATGGGGTTTCACCATGTTGGCCAGGATGGTCTCGAACTCCTGACCTCAAATGATCTTCCCGCCTCAACCTCTGAAAGTGCTGGGATTACAGGCATGGGCCACCACACTTGGCCCTTGTGTTTTCAATAATAGCCACTTTAACTGGTGTGAGATGATATCTCATTGTGGTTTTGATTTACATTTCCCTGATTTGCATCCATATACCTGTTGGCCATTTGTATGTCTTCTTTTGAGAAATGTCTGTTCAGATAATTTGCTCATTTTTTAAACCACATTATTTGTCGGTGGTGGTAGTGGTGGTGTTTGCTGTTGAGTTCCTTATACGTTCTGATTATTAATCCCTTGTCAGACAGTTTGCAAATATTTTCTTCTATTCTGTAGGTTGCCTCTTCACTCCATTAATTGTTTCCTTTGCTGCACAGACACTTTTTAGCTTGATGTAATCACATTTGTCTGTTGTTGCCTTTGTTGCCTGGCTGTTGAGGTCTTACCCAAAAAACTTTTGCCCAGACCAATGTCTTGAAGCATTTCCCAAATGATTTTTTTTTTTTTTTTTTTGAGAAGGAGTCTTGCACCGTCGCCTGGGCTGGAGTGCAGTGGCGCAAATTTGACTCACTGCAACCTTTGCCTCCTGGGTTCAAGCGATTCTCCTGCCTTAGCCTCCCAAATAGCTGGAATTTACAGGTGCCCACCACCACGCCCAGCTATTTTTTTGTATTTTTAGTAGAGACGGGGTTTCACCATGTTGGCCAGGCTGGTCTCAAACTCCTGACCTTGTGTTTGAGGATTACAGGTGTGACCCACCGTGCCCGGCTGAATTTTTTTTTTAGTGGCTTCAAGTTTCCAGCTGTACATGTAAGGCTTTAATCTATTTTGTATATGATGACAGATAGAGATTTAGTTTCTTTTTTTCTTTTTTTTTGTGGGGGGGGATAGAGTCTTGCTCTGTTGCCCTGTTGCCCAGTCTGGAGTGCAGTGGTATGATCTCAGCTCACTGCAACCTCCACCTCCCAAGTTCAACTGATTCTCCTGCCTCAGCCTCCTGAGTAGCTGGAACTACAGGTGCACACCACTACGCCCGGCTAATTTTTGTAATTTTAGTAGAGATGGGGTTTCACCATATTGGTCAGGCTGGTTTCAAACTCCTGACCTCAGGTGATCCACCCACCTCCGCCTCCCAAAGTGCTGGGATTACAGGCGTGAGCCACCCCGCCCGGCCTAGGTTTAGTTTCTTCTGCATATGGATATCCAGTTTTCCCAGCACAATTTATTGAAGAGAGTGTCCTTTCCCCAGTGTGTGTACTTGGTGCCTTTGTTGAAAGTAAGTTGGCTGGCCGGGAGTGGTGGCTCATGCCTGTAATCCCAGCATTTTGGGAGACCGAGGCGGGCAGATCACAAGGTCAGGAGTTCGAGACCAGCCTGACCAACATAGTGAAACCCCCGTCTCTACTAAAAATACAAAAATTAGCCAGGCATGGTGGTGCGCACCTGTAATCCCAGCTACTCAGGAGGCTGAGGCAGGAGAATCGCTTGAACCCAGGAGGTGGAGGTTGCAGTGAGCCAGATCGTGCCATTGCACTCCAGCCTGGCAACAGAGCAAGACTCCATCTCAAAAAAAAAAAAAGGAAAGAAAAGAAAAAAGAAAGTAAGTTGGCTGTTAAATGTTTGGACTTGTTTTTCTGGGCTCTCTATTACATTCCATTGGTCTATGTGTCTGTTTTTTATGCCAGCACCATGCTGTTTTGGTTACTATAGCTTTATAGTATATTTTTAAGTTAGGTAGTGTGGTACCTCTAGCTTTGTTCTTTTTGCTCAGGACTGCTTTGGCTATTTGGGTCTTTTACAGTTCAGATAAATTTTAGGGTTGTTTTTTCTATTTCTGTAAAGAATATTATTGGTATTTTCATAGGGGTTGCATGACTCTGTAGATCACTTTGGTAAGCACAGACATTTTAGCAGTATTCATTCTTCCAATCCATGAACACAGGATATCTTTCCATTTTTTTGTGTCCTCTTCAATTTATTTCATCAATGTTTTATAGCTGTCATTGCAGTACTCTTTCACTTCTTTGGTTAAATTTATTCATTTGTTTTTATTTTTTGTAACTATTATAAATGGGATTGCTTTCTTGATTTCTTTTTCTGATTGTTTGCTGTTAGCGTATAGAAATGCTACTACTTTTTCTACATTGATTTTGTATCCTACAGCTTTACTGAATTTGTTTATAACCAGTGTTTTCTTTAGGTTTTTCTAAATATAGGATTATGTCATCTGTGAACATGGATAATCTGAGTTCTTCTTTTGCAATTTGGATGCCCTTTATTTCTTTCTCCTGCCTAATTGCTCTGGCCAGGACTTCCAGTATTACCTTGAATAAAAATAGTGAAAGTGAGCATCCTTGTCTTGTTCCAGATCTTAGAGGAAAGGCTTTCAACTTTTCCCCATTCAATATGATGTTAGCTGTGGGTTTGTCATATATGGCTTTTATTATTTTGAGATATAGAACCACAGCTTTTTTTTTTTGAGACAGAGTCTTTCTCTGTCACTCAGGCTGGAATGTAGTGGTGCAATCTCAGCTCACTGCAACCTCTACCTCCCGGGCTCAAGCAATTCACCTGCCTCAGCCTCCCCAGTAGCTGGGATTACAGGTGCCTGCCACCACACCTAGCTAATTTTGTGTATGTGTGTATTTTTAGTAGAGATGGGGTTTCACCATGTTGGCCAGGCTGGTCTCAAAATCCTGACCTCAAGTGATCCACCCGCCTTGACCTCCCAAACTGCTGGGATTACAGGCGTGAGCCACCGTGCCCGGCCAGAACCACAACTTTTGATAGAAGGCTCAAGACAGATACCCTAACCTACCCTCTTTTTTCACTTTTTTATTTTATTTTTTAACCTTTTATTATGAACATTTTCAAACATAAACAAAAGCAGTATACTGATCAGTAGTAAACCTCTGGGCACCCATTACTCAGCTTTACTTATTCTTTTTTTTTTTTTTTTTTTTTTTTTTGAGACAGCATCTCACTCTGTTGCCCCGGCTAGAGTACAGTGGCGCGATCTCGGTTCACTGCAACCTCCGCCTCCCGGGTTCAAGCGATTCTCCTGCCTCAGCCTCCTGAGTAGCTGGGACTACAGGGACATGCCACCATGCCCGGCTAATTTTTGTATTTATAGTAGAGATGGAGTTTCACCATATTGGCCAGGCTGGTCTCGAACTCCTGACCTCGTGATCTGCCCACCTCAGCCTACCAAAGTGCTGGGATTACAGGCGTGAGCCACCGCACCCGGCTATTTACTTCTTCTTTTATGAAGCTCCCTCCTCCAAAACACCCCCATCACCTGTTCCTTCCAGCTCTCTGACCACTCCTTGGATTCTCTGTGAATTCCCTTTTCTCTCTTTGAAGCCTGCCTTCCTGGTACTGTACTCTTGCACACTCTCTTTCCTCTTGCAAGAAGCCAGCACGTGGTACAGATCTTGCCAATGACCCTTCTCTCACTAGCTGAGTGGCATGAAGAAGCAGAAAATGGTTAAGAGCATTGGTTTGGAGTCACAGACCTTCATTGATTCCCAGCTCTGCCACCTATAGCTATTTGACTTGCACAAGTCACTAACCTTTCAGAGACTCAGCTTCCTTACGTGCAAAGTAAAAATCGAATGAGATAACCCAAATAAAATGTCATTAGGGGGATTTTTAGGTTATGTATATAAATCATGCAATAAATGCTAGTCATTTCTTTCCTCTGGTTGACTGAGAGCTTCCAGGAAATAGGAATGGGTTCTAACTTTCTTTGTATTCCTAGTGCCTAAAACGGTGCCTGACACAAAGTAGGCACTCAATAGATGCTTATGAATTAATAAAGTATGAGAGAGCCTGGTAGGTATTTAGCAGGGGAGGAAGGTTTTACCAAAAATGGTGCTGTGTTTGGTGGCAGTGTGTCATAGAGATTGTTTGGGACTGGGGAAGTTTGAGTTGTGTGTCGCCAACAATTGTGTCTCATGGGGAGTTGAGATAGAAGGATTGTGACACATGGCCATGATGGATGGTGAGTTGAGTGATGCTGTTGAGCTGGAAGGTGGGGGACTGGACAGACTATCTTGAGCTGGGTCCCTTGTAGTGCTGGGTTGGGCTCATCCACTGGTTCCCTGTCTAATCCTCTTTGTCTGCAGTGTGCCCCAGGCTACGATGGACAGAACTGCTCAAAGGAACTCGATGCTTGTCAGTCCCAACCCTGTCACAACCATGGAACCTGTACTCCCAAACCTGGAGGCTTCCACTGTGCCTGCCCTCCAGGCTTTGTGGGGCTACGCTGTGAGGGAGACGTGGACGAGTGTCTGGACCAGCCCTGCCACCCCACAGGCACTGCAGCCTGCCACTCTCTGGCCAATGCCTTCTACTGCCAGTGTCTGCCTGGACACACAGGTGAGGCCCCAAGACAAGGGGCACAAGTGTGTCTGGAGCACAGCCAAGCAGACCATGGAGAGCCAGATAGTCTCCACCCATGCGGCAGCCGTCACCTGGTCCATCCCCTGCCTCCACGCCCACCCCCGCCCAGAAAAGATGCCCCAGGATCCCTTCACCTGCACATCTAGCACTGGGCCAACATCCAGGAATGAGCTAGGATGGAGGCAGTGACTGATGCAGTGTGTGACATCTAATCTCCCCCATAATTACAGGCCAGTGGTGTGAGGTGGAGATAGACCCCTGCCACAGCCAACCCTGCTTTCATGGAGGGACCTGTGAGGCCACAGCAGGATCACCCCTGGGTTTCATCTGCCACTGCCCCAAGGCAAGTGACCACAAATCTGCCTTCTCTGTTGCCCCCTATGCTGACAAGGCAAGAATACCTCAGTTGGAATCCCAGAAGGGACTGTGGGTGAGCACTGATGTGGAAATTATTGGAAAAAGCCATGCCAAGCTCACAGTGGGAAGTGTCTCTCAGAAGCAGTCAAAGGCAAGGCAGGATCAGTTGATAGCATGAATGGAATTTTCAAAAATCACAGGCGTTGCCTAAGGGAAGGTCAGGAGCTCCCCAAGCTCAAGCTGCGTGGTGGGTGGCCTCAGATAGGTTATTTTAACTCTGTGTGTGTTTGTATATGTATTTATGGACCTCAGATGCATGGAATTAGACTAATCTTAAGCTTTGGTTCCTGATACACTGACATTGGTTTATGCCTGGTCTTCTTTTATTTTATTATTCTAACAATGTAACACCCATGAACCTAACCCAAGAATTTCAATATTAATAATAACTTACATCTACTTAAGTCCTCCTCCTGTATCCTGTTCCCTCTCCAGAGGAAGAGGAAGACATATGATCCTATTTCTAAGGAGTAAGATAATAATATAACAGCCGGCCGGGCACAGTGGCTCACGCCTGTAATCCCAGCACTTTGGGAGGCCGAGGCAGGCGGATCACCTGAGGTCGGGCATTCGAGACCAGCCTGACAAACATGGAGAAACCCTGTCTCTACTAAAAATACAAATTAGCTGGGCGTGGTGGTGCATGGCTGTAATCCCAGCTATTGGGAAGGCTGAGGCAGGAGAATTGCTTGAACCCGGGAGGCAGAGGTTGCAATGAGCTGAGATTGCACCATTGCACTCCAGCCTGGACAACAAGAGCGAAACTCTGTCTCAAAAATAATAATAATAATAATATAATAGCATTCTATTAACTGTTTAGTCTTCTAGGACTTGCACTGTAATGCCACAGTCCATCAGGTTGTTGCACACAGCTGTGCTTCATCCATTTTCAACAGAATGTAATATGTCATTGTGTGAAATTACCACAGGACATGGTTTCAACATCCACAAAATGATTAACTTGATGCTCTCTGAGGCGCCTTTTAGATATGAGAATCTAGGACCCTCTGCACCGTCTTAACCCAAGAGTTTGCTTGATGGAGAGCGGGAAGAATAATGCAAGTTGCATCTCCAATATCTCCCCTCCCCTCCACAGGGTTTTGAAGGCCCCACCTGCAGCCACAGGGCCCCTTCCTGCGGCTTCCATCACTGCCACCACGGAGGCCTGTGTCTGCCCTCCCCTAAGCCAGGCTTCCCACCACGCTGTGCCTGCCTCAGTGGCTATGGGGGTCCTGACTGCCTGACCCCACCAGCTCCTAAAGGCTGTGGCCCTCCCTCCCCATGCCTATACAATGGCAGCTGCTCAGAGACCACGGGCTTGGGGGGCCCAGGCTTTCGATGCTCCTGCCCTCACAGCTCTCCAGGGCCCCGGTGTCAGAAACCCGGAGCCAAGGGGTGTGAGGGCAGAAGTGGAGATGGGGCCTGCGATGCTGGCTGCAGTGGCCCGGGAGGAAACTGGGATGGAGGGGACTGCTCTCTGGGAGTCCCAGACCCCTGGAAGGGCTGCCCCTCCCACTCTCGGTGCTGGCTTCTCTTCCGGGACGGGCAGTGCCACCCACAGTGTGACTCTGAAGAGTGTCTGTTTGATGGCTACGACTGTGAGACCCCTCCAGCCTGCACGTGAGCCTGAAATCCACTGGAGCCAGGGAAGGAGAGGGGTGGGTGAGAGGAGGAGGAAGGACGTAGATGGCTCTGAGTTACAGTGTGGCCACAGCCTTGGGCTCCAGGGAGTTTCCACCCTAATAACCATCACTAAACAGGGGTCGAAGACTCTGGACTCCAACCTAGGGTAATGGGGTGGCATCAGTATTTAATGTGGGGCGTGGCCTTTGGGCTCCTCTCTAAGAGTTGAAGGAACTCAGGTCTCAAGCCTCCTTCCCTAAGCCTTGCTGCCATGGAGTATTTCCCCTAGCAGTCAGCACCTCACAGAGGGAAAAGGGCCTGGGACTCTCCTTTAGAAACAGAGGAGAGCTTGGGAGGGTACAGAGAGGGGACAGTCTAGGGAGACAGGGGTGTTAGCAGACATTGGGGTGTCTGGACTACCATCCAGGACTTGACTAAGCTCATTGCTCCACAGCTGCCCCCACTTAGCAACCAAAGCCCTAGAGGGCACAAAATATGGGGAATTCTTTCTAGGGTGAAGAAAAGAGTCAGGTTTTAGGGAGGTCCTGAGTCCCCCTCTCCTTACCCCACAGTCCAGCCTATGACCAGTACTGCCATGATCACTTCCACAACGGGCACTGTGAGAAAGGCTGCAACACTGCAGAGTGTGGCTGGGATGGAGGTGACTGCAGGCCTGAAGATGGGGACCCAGAGTGGGGGCCCTCTCTGGCCCTGCTGGTGGTACTGAGCCCCCCAGCCCTAGACCAGCAGCTGTTTGCCCTGGCCCGGGTGCTGTCCCTGACTCTGAGGGTAGGACTCTGGGTAAGGAAGGATCGTGATGGCAGGGACATGGTGTACCCCTATCCTGGGGCCCGGGCTGAAGAAAAGCTAGGAGGAACTCGGGACCCCACCTATCAGGAGAGAGCAGCCCCTCAAACGCAGCCCCTGGGCAAGGAGACCGACTCCCTCAGTGCTGGGTAAGAAGCTAGGTGGAGGGAAGGGCCAGACACCAGTTTTTTTAAGAGGGCAGAGGGAGGAAAGGGAGCCAGGGACCAATACAGAGGTCTCTGAGGTGCCTCCTCTACAGGTTTGTGGTGGTCATGGGTGTGGATTTGTCCCGCTGTGGCCCTGACCACCCGGCATCCCGCTGTCCCTGGGACCCTGGGCTTCTACTCCGCTTCCTTGCTGCGATGGCTGCAGTGGGAGCCCTGGAGCCCCTGCTGCCTGGACCACTGCTGGCTGTCCACCCTCATGCAGGGACCGGTAGGTGACCCCTTGCCACTTTCTCTGACCTCTGTTCCCAGGCCAGCTCTCATGCTAGCAACAGGCAATGGAGGCTGAATCAAACAGGACAGCTGAGACTGAAAATGTTCTTTGTGGGGACTTACTTTCCCTAACCCCGCTTTCTCTAACTGAATCTCCCACTGGCCCATTTGTTCTACAGTCTCCTTCCTTATTTCCCTAAGCACATTATCCTAACCTCTGTCATAGCCCTCCAACAAAGGGATGGTTTATCTTCTCTACCAGACTGAGAATACCTAATAGTCTTTGTATCAGACAATTCATAGTACATGAAAGAATAATAGGCTGGGCGCAGTGGCTCATGCCTATAATCCCAGCACGTTGGGAGACCAAGGCAGGTGGATCACGAGGTCAGGAGATTGAGACCATCCTGGCTAATGCGGTGAAACCCTGTCTCTACTAAAAATAAAAAAATTAGCCGGCTGTGGTGGCGGGTGCTTGTAGTCTCAGCTACTCAGGAGGCTGAGGCAGGAGAATGGCGTGAACCTGGGAGGTGGAGCTTGCAGTGAGCCGAGATCGCGCCACTGCACTCCAGCCTGGGCGACAGAGGGAGACTCCATCTCAAAAAAAAAAAAAGAAAAATAACTGCTATATCGTACTTTGTGCCTTACTCTAAGCATTTTACATTGTTACCTCATTTAATCCTCCCCCACAACCCCATGAGGCACGTACTGCTGGTTGAGTATCCCTTATCTGAAATGCTTGGGAACAAAAGTGTTTCAGATTTCGGATTTATTTTGGAATATTTGCATTATACTTACTGGTTCAGCATCCCTAATACAACATCCAAATGCTACAATGAGCATTTCCTTTGAGCGTTATGTTGGTACTCTAAAAGTTTCAGACTTTGGAACATTTCAGATTTGGGATTGGGGTTATGGATACTCAGCCTTTTTTTGTGTGTTTGTTTTCTGAGACAGTCTTACTCTGTCAGCCACACTGGAGTACAGTGACGCCATCTCAGCTCACTGCAACCTCTGCCTCCTGGGTTTAAGCAATTCTCTTGCTTCAGACTACTGAGTAGCTGGAATTACAATGGCATGCCACCATGCCCTAATAATTTTTTTTGTTTTTGTTTTGTTTTGTTTTGTTTTGTTTGAGACAGAGTCTTGCCTTGTCGCCCAGGCCGGAGTGCAGTGGCGCGATCTCGGCTCACTGCAAGCTCCACCTCCCAAGTTCACGCCATTCTCCTGCCTCAGCCTCCCAAGTAGCTGGGACTACAGGTGCCCGCCACCACACCTGGCTAATTTTTTGTATTTTTAGTAGAGACAGGGTTTCACCATGTTAGCCAGGATGGTCTCGATCTCCTGACCTCATGATCCACCCGCCTCAGCCTCCCAAAGTGCTGAGATTATAGGAGTAAGCCACTACACCCAGCCACTAATTTTTATATTTTTAGTAGAGAGGGGGTTTTGCCATGTTGGCCAGGCTGGTCTCGAACTCCTGGCCTCATATGATCCACCTGCCTCAGCTTCCCAAAGTGCTGGGATTACAGGCATGAGCCACTGTGCCCAACCTCAATCTATATTATCATCCCCATTTTGCAGATAAGGAAACCGAGGCAAAGACAGGCTACTAAACTTGTCCAAAGGTCTCCCAATAGTAATCAGTCTCACCAGGAGTGGCCTCTCTTTGTGACTCTGTCTCTCCCACCAGCACCCCCTGCCAACCAGCTTCCCTGGCCTGTGCTGTGCTCCCCAGTGGCCGGGGTGATTCTCCTGGCCCTAGGGGCTCTTCTCGTCCTCCAGCTCATCCGGCGTCGACGCCGAGAGCATGGAGCTCTCTGGCTGCCCCCTGGTTTCACTCGACGGCCTCGGACTCAGTCAGCTCCCCACCGACGCCGGCCCCCACTAGGCGAGGACAGCATTGGTCTCAAGTGAGAATGAGGAGAAACCCAGGCTCAGGAAGGGGAGTCTCTCCTATGGCGATATTTACAATCAGAAAAGATAAGAAATACTATTGCAGAAGTCAAAGATAGGGGAAGGAGAGAGGGGTGGGAAGCCTGCTGGAAATTTTGGAGACCCTGATGGTCATAATTCCGTGTAACCTCTACCCACCCATTCCTTTCCAGGGCACTGAAGCCAAAGGCAGAAGTTGATGAGGATGGAGTTGTGATGTGCTCAGGCCCTGAGGAGGGAGAGGAGGTGGGCCAGGTGAAAGGGCTGGGGCAAGAATGGTCTGGAGGTGATGGAAGCGATGAAAGGGCAAATCAACCTTCACTGATCCTTGCTGTTACCCAAAGGCTGAAGAAACAGGCCCACCCTCCACGTGCCAGCTCTGGTCTCTGAGTGGTGGCTGTGGGGCGCTCCCTCAGGCAGCCATGCTAACTCCTCCCCAGGAATCTGAGATGGAAGCCCCTGACCTGGACACCCGTGGACCTGGTATGTGAGTCAACCCAGACCAAGAAAAAAAAAAAAAGTCCTTTGACCCTATTAGAATCAGAGAGTCCTTTAATATCAGAACTAGAGGAAATAATTTTAGACTGAGTGCCTTAGAACAATGATTCTCAAAGTGTGGTCCTCAGACAGCAAAATCAGCATCACCTGGGAATTTGTCAGAAATGCAAATTATTGGGCTCCACTACAGAGCTACTGACTCAGGAATTTAAAATGTTAGGCAATCTGTTTTAACAAGCCCTTCAGGTGAATCTGATCCAGACTCGTTTGAGAAAACCACTGCTAGGCCGGGCGTGGTGGCTCACGCCTGTAATCCCAGCACTTTGGGAGGCCAAGGCGGGTGGATCACAAGGTCAGGAGATCGAGACCATCCTGGCTAACACAGTGAAACCCCGTCTCTACTAAAAATACAAAAAATTAGCCGGGCGTGGTGGCGGGAGCCTGTAGTCCCAGCTGCTCTGGAGGCTAAGGCAGGAGAATGGCGTGAACCTGGGAGGAGGAGCTTGCAGTGAGCCGAGATCGCGCCACTGCACTCCAGCCTGGGTGACAGGGCGAGACTCCGTCTCAGAAAAAAAAAAAAAAAAAAGAGAAAACCACTGCCCTGGAATGTCAGAGAATTAAGCTGCAGGTTCCTTTTACAGAGGAAGAAACTGAAGTCAGAGAAAAGCAGAAAAGTCACTTGGCTAAAGCCACACAGAGCCAGAACTTAGCTTCCCAACACCTCAGGTTTTGATTCTCTCTGAGCTTACATGTTGTCCCTTCCCCCTTGTTGTGTCCTTTAGATTGACCCATTACTCTGTCTTACCAACAGATGGGGTGACACCCCTGATGTCAGCAGTTTGCTGTGGGGAAGTACAGTCCGGGACCTTCCAAGGGGCATGGTTGGGATGTCCTGAGCCCTGGGAACCTCTGCTGGATGGAGGGGCCTGTCCCCAGGCTCACACCGTGGGCACTGGGGAGACCCCCCTGCACCTGGCTGCCCGATTCTCCCGGCCAACCGCTGCCCGCCGCCTCCTTGAGGCTGGAGCCAACCCCAACCAGCCAGACCGGGCAGGGCGCACACCCCTTCATGCTGCTGTGGCTGCTGATGCTCGGGAGGTCTGCCAGGTTAGCACACACTGAGGTCCCTACAGGGAATGGGGCGAGCTTACAAGTAAAGCTGGACAGAAGCATCCCCTAGAGTTTGACAAGGAGGAAATTGGTGTGATTGGGAACCTGACAGGGAAACTGCGGAGGATGGCTGAATATGGATTGCGAGTGGGGTTAATAGTGTAAGGAACTCGAGTTGGCAGTCCAAGGTACCCCAGGGGTCACTGGCCCTCTGTCTCCCCAGCTTCTGCTCCGTAGCAGACAAACTGCAGTGGACGCTCGCACAGAGGACGGGACCACACCCTTGATGCTGGCTGCCAGGCTGGCGGTGGAAGACCTGGTTGAAGAACTGATTGCAGCCCAAGCAGACGTGGGGGCCAGAGATAAATGGGGTATGTAGAGGAAGGGGTGATGTATGCTATAGAGAAGTTGAGCAGATGGGGTGGGAGATAGCGTGCAAAATATAGGTGCAGCAGAGGGGCATTCCCTCTCATCCTGCTGTTACGGCGGTCAATCTGAGATGCGGTGGAAGTACGGGCCGCGTGAGTTTCCCCCCCCAACTCCCACCCTCAACACCACACTGGCCCTCCGCTCCAGCTTACTGGGGAACTGGCATGGAACACAGTGTCTGTGGAAAGGGGGGGGAATCTCGTGGGGGGAGACTGTCTCCCGGTCTCACCGACCCCAGAACAATGCCCCATTGTCCCTCCCGCGCACTGGTGACGTCACCAGGGCAACACTTCCTGCAGGCCGGTGGTCTCCTGGGCAACGCTTCCCGCCTTTGAGGGACCAGCCGGCCCGAATAGCCCTTCCCCCAAGGCCAGAACCCGTGGGAAACCGGAACCCAGGCGTCTGGCCCCCAACTGGGGTAACAACCTCCCACGTCGTCCCCTAGGGAAAACTGCGCTGCACTGGGCTGCTGCCGTGAACAACGCCCGAGCCGCCCGCTCGCTTCTCCAGGCCGGAGCCGATAAAGATGCCCAGGACAACAGGGTTAGATGGGACAGAGGGCTTCCCACAAAACAGTCAGGCGCACGAGAGATGGAAAGTGCGGTAACCCGCAAAGCCTGAAGGGATAGGGGCCAGTGGTCGCGCAAGTGAAGGCAGAAAGGCCCAGTCCTGTGGGCGTGGCCTTCCCTGATATCGGCCCTGGCTCTTCTGTACAGGAGCAGACGCCGCTATTCCTGGCGGCGCGGGAAGGAGCGGTGGAAGTAGCCCAGCTACTGCTGGGGCTGGGGGCAGCCCGAGAGCTGCGGGACCAGGCTGGGCTAGCGCCGGCGGACGTCGCTCACCAACGTAACCACTGGGATCTGCTGACGCTGCTGGAAGGGGCTGGGCCACCAGAGGCCCGTCACAAAGCCACGCCGGGCCGCGAGGCTGGGCCCTTCCCGCGCGCACGGACGGTGTCAGTAAGCGTGCCCCCGCATGGGGGCGGGGCTCTGCCGCGCTGCCGGACGCTGTCAGCCGGAGCAGGCCCTCGTGGGGGCGGAGCTTGTCTGCAGGCTCGGACTTGGTCCGTAGACTTGGCTGCGCGGGGGGGCGGGGCCTATTCTCATTGCCGGAGCCTCTCGGGAGTAGGAGCAGGAGGAGGCCCGACCCCTCGCGGCCGTAGGTTTTCTGCAGGCATGCGCGGGCCTCGGCCCAACCCTGCGATAATGCGAGGAAGATACGGAGTGGCTGCCGGGCGCGGAGGCAGGGTCTCAACGGATGACTGGCCCTGTGATTGGGTGGCCCTGGGAGCTTGCGGTTCTGCCTCCAACATTCCGATCCCGCCTCCTTGCCTTACTCCGTCCCCGGAGCGGGGATCACCTCAACTTGACTGTGGTCCCCCAGCCCTCCAAGAAATGCCCATAAACCAAGGAGGAGAGGGTAAAAAATAGAAGAATACATGGTAGGGAGGAATTCCAAAAATGATTACCCATTAAAAGGCAGGCTGGAAGGCCTTCCTGGTTTTAAGATGGATCCCCCAAAATGAAGGGTTGTGAGTTTAGTTTCTCTCCTAAAATGAATGTATGCCCACCAGAGCAGACATCTTCCACGTGGAGAAGCTGCAGCTCTGGAAAGAGGGTTTAAGATGCTAGGATGAGGCAGGCCCAGTCCTCCTCCAGAAAATAAGACAGGCCACAGGAGGGCAGAGTGGAGTGGAAATACCCCTAAGTTGGAACCAAGAATTGCAGGCATATGGGATGTAAGATGTTCTTTCCTATATATGGTTTCCAAAGGGTGCCCCTATGATCCATTGTCCCCACTGCCCACAAATGGCTGACAAATATTTATTGGGCACCTACTATGTGCCAGGCACTGTGTAGGTGCTGAAAAGTGGCCAAGGGCCACCCCCGCTGATGACTCCTTGCATTCCCTCCCCTCACAACAAAGAACTCCACTGTGGGGATGAAGCGCTTCTTCTAGCCACTGCTATCGCTATTTAAGAACCCTAAATCTGTCACCCATAATAAAGCTGATTTGAAGTGTTACCTTTTTTTGGAGGAATTGGGGAGAAGAATGGGAAAAAAGATGGGAGTGACTGCATAATGTCAGCATTTTGTGCTTTTGGCTCAGCATTTGGATTGGATGGAGGATGTAAGTATAGTTTAAAAGCAAGAATAAGTATATTTAGGGGCCCTATGATAATTTAGGGTATTATCTGAAAGCAAGAATCTAGTAGCCAAGGGAGAAACCGCACACACTAGGTCAGGGGTCCCCAACCCTTGGGCCACAGACTGGTACTGGTCCATGGCCTCTTAGGAACTGGGCCACACAGCAGGAGGTGAGCAAGCATTACTGCCCAAGCTCCACCTCCTGTCAGATCAGCATAAGCATTAAATTCTCATAGGAACTCGAACCCTATTGTGAACTGTGCATGCAAGGGATCTAAGTTTCTCGCTTCTTACGGGAATCTAATGCCTAATGATCTGGGGTGGAACAGTTTCATCCTGAAACCAGCCCTCCGTCGCCACCGACCATGGAATAATTGTCTTCCACGAAACTCTTCCCTGGTGCCAAAAAGGTAGGAGACCACTGCACTAGATGATGCACACACTTTGTCCCTCATCCTAGGGCTTTTACTTATGGCCACTTAGGAGATTCCTAAGGCCACAAGTCAAGTAGATGGAGAGAGTATCTTGAAACTTTGTCCACCTTGCAGCAATATGTTGCTAGGTTTGAAACATGGAGTCATGAGGCATTTTGAAAGCCAATAATATCTACAGTTTATTAAGTATTCACTATGCATCAAGTGCTTCATTACATTATTAATACATCAACCCTATGAAGTAGGTGCTATTAAAACCCTATTTCACTCAGAAATTGAGGCACAGAGATCTGCCCAAGATTGCAAGGAATAAGCGGCAGGACCAGATCTCTTCATCACATTTCACATTCCAAATCACTCAGCTATAAACTCCCTAACATGACAGGTTGCCATTTAGAGGTACCAAATGGTTGTCTGCCCTGCTCCTTCCTTGATGCCAACCAGCCTGATTAGCATTGATCAAAGACCAAGCCAGAGAGGTAGTCCTCTCCCTTTTCAATTTCATTTCATTTCTTTCTTTTTCTGAAACAGGGTATTGCTCTGTTGCCCAGCCTGGAGTGCAGTGGCACAAATGGCTCACTGCAGCCACAACCTCCTGGGCTCAAGCAATCTTCCTACCTCAGCCTCTCATTGTTCCATATCTATATCTCTTATGCCCAAAATAAACTTTCCCCTGCCCCTTGTCTGCACTAAACTATAAGTTTCCAAAATGAACCCTTCCCGTACTCTATTTGGTACACATCTTGTCTCCTGAATAGAGTGTATTTTTTATTTTATTTTATTTTGGAGACGGAGTCTCGCTCTGTCACCTAGGCTGGAGCGCAGTGGCACAATCTCAGTTCACCGCAACCTCCGCCTCCCGGGTTCAAGCAATTCTCCTGCCTCAACCTCCTGAGTAGCTGGGATTACAGGCGCATGTGGCCACGCCCAGCTAATTTTTTGTATTTTAGTAAAGATGGGGTTTCACCATGTTCCCCAGGCTGGTCTCCAACTCCTGAGCTCAGGCAATCCACCCGCCTCAGCCTCCCAAAGTGCTAGGATTACAGGTGTGAGCCACCGCAGCCGGCCATCTCCTGAATAGATTTTAAATACCTAGAGGTCAGGGATGATTATTCAATACATATATATTGAATACTTACTATGTGTTGGACCCGGTGCTAGGGTTTTATGTATATATTTGAGAGCTCCACATCCCTGGATCTGAATCCTCCACTTCCCACTGGAACCATGCCCCTCCCAGTCCCGGTAAGTAAGAGGGAAGATCGGGAGGGCCAAATCCTACACCAGGGTCTATCTTAGGGAGGGAAGGGACCTGGCTGGGGGGAGGGGGATTCTGAGGAGTGAAACCACTTCCTGTGTAGCTAGTTCCTGTGTTGACAGAAAGAGCAGAAGAGGAGGTGGGGTGGAGGGAGCAGAGCCAGGGATTAGGGGACTACTGAGGCTCTGGAGATGAGACCGCCAGGAGTCCTTCCCCACCATGAGCCCCCTCCACTCCTGCAGCTGGAGGAGTTTTTCCCAGTCTCAGTGCTGCCCTGGGGCGAGAGAGACTGAACAAGCTGTTTGGGTGGGAAGAGAATGGAGGAAGTTGACAGGGATGGGCGGGGCCCGTGGGGGGGCTGACCAGGAACCCAGCTTCCTGCTCAGTACCCAGGCATCCAGCCCCCAGCTCACCCCCACCCCTTCCAGCCCCCACTCCCCTCAGGAACCCAAGGTTCCAGCCCTCCTCCCAAATCCCAGCCACCCCTCCCCCACCAGTTTCTCCCCTCTAGGGGATGGAGGCTGAGAGACCCCAGGAAGAAGAGGATGGTGAGCAGGTGAGCTGGGCACGGGGTTGGGGAGGCTGACACTGGGAAAGAAGGGAGGTGAGAGGACCTGGGGCAGAAATGTAGGGACACAGGGGCCTTGAAAGGCTTGGGCAAACTGAGGCAGGAACAGAGACACACAGAGAGGAAACGGGCCACTGGCCTAGCCCCCTGTCCACTCCTCCCGCTTCAACCACCACTGCTTGACTAGAATGGACATATTTTGGCATCAGGGCCCCCCTCAGGATGAGGAAGGCTGGCCCCCTCCAAACTCCACCACTCGGCCTTGGCGATCTGCTCCTCCATCCCCTCCTCCTCCAGGGACCCGCCACACAGGTACCCCTACCCACCCAGGGAGAGCCCCGACCCTAGTGCCCACATCCTGACCCCATTACCAAGGCCCACTCCATTGTGGGCCCTCTCCCCACCTCCTCCAGACTCCCCTTGGGATTCCCCATTGCACCCCCTCTCCTCTGATCCAAAGTCCCTAATCACGTCACCCTGTCCACACTCCCCCACGGCTCCTGTCTGCCAACCTCTCTGGGTCTCTGAGCCCTCCACACCCCTCTCCCCAGCCCTGGGACCCCGCTCGGCCTCCCTGCTCTCCCTGCAGACTGAACTCCTTCTGGACCTGGTGGCTGAAGCCCAGTCCCGCCGCCTGGAGGAGCAGAGGGCCACCTTCTACACCCCCCAAAACCCCTCAAGCCTAGCCCCTGCCCCACTCCGTCCTCTCGAGGACAGAGAACAGCTTTACAGCACTATCCTCAGTCACCAGGTAAGACATCCCCCCAGGAGGCAAACCCAGGCCTCCTGGTCTCTTGGCCCCTGTTCTCTTTGGGGCTCTACTCCTGTTTCTCCCTAGGCACCCCATCGCCTTCACAGGTTTCCTATATGCCTCCCCATACCAACCCTTGATCCTCTCAAGAACCTCCTCCTCTCAGACCCTCACCAAAGCTCTCCCTCTCCCTCCACTCCTCCAGTGCCAGCGGATGGAAGCCCAGCGGTCAGAGCCTCCCCTCCCTCCAGGGGGGCAAGAGCTCCTGGAGTTGCTGCTGAGAGTTCAGGGTGGGGGTCGAATGGAGGAGCAAAGGTCCCGGCCCCCCACACACACCTGCTGAGACTTGAGCCCCAACCAGCCCTTCCTTGCCACTGGTCTCAAAGCTGGGCAGCCCATTGCATGCCCTCAACTCTTGCTTGGCAGGGGTACCAGAGACTGAAAGACACGGCACAAATCTCAATATTCATCTCCCACATCACCTTCCCTGGGAACTGGACAGGGTGAAAGTCCTCAAACTCTGGGAACAGGCGAGATGGAACAGGGATTTAACTCCCCGCCCACAGGTCCATGGGAGCTTGAGGCAGTAAGGGGGATCCCAGGCACCCATCTCAAGGAGTGGCTGGGAGTCTTTTCCCTAACTTGTGGGGACACCACCAGTTGTCAAGCTACTAGGCAGTAGGGTCTGAGGGCTCAGGCCTCCACCTGAGAGGTTATAACCTGAGAGACAGCTCTACCCTTCCTCCCAGTAAGAAGGGAAGGTGGGTGGGCACCTGAGAGATTAAGACTATTCTCCCAGTCCCACTACCAGCACCCCCGATCCCTGAGACTGAGGGGTTTACGGGCTGTGAATGGACCTTCAGCCCTGCCCACCCTCCCTCCCCACTGCTGCTGAGTCTGTCTGATGTTTTGGTTGTGTGAATAAATATAATTCCCCTCTGGACTGCAGACTGGTATCTGGGGGGCCCAGGCGGGGTGAAAGGTAGGAAGGTGAGGCCAGAGGCCTTTTCTCTCCCCAGTCTGGCCAGAGGCCAGCTCCCCTCCCCGGCTGGTTAATTACTGGCTCATTAAGCAGCGGCTGGAGACCTCCCTAATTATCTCCCCCAGCCCCCCTCTTCGGTTTTAATTAAGTAGAACAGGGAGGGGAGTCATTAGAACAAGAAATATGAACTGAGCTGCCGGTGAACCCAGGCATTCCAGCGGCCTGAGTCCACATCGCTTAGATCCCTGATTCAGGACCCAGGTGACAGACGCCCCCAGCCGCCAACACAGCCCCACTCCTAGGCCGCGGAAGTCCAGCCAGGGGGCTTTCCCATATCTTTCAGATGGCCCGTCTCCTCCCCTCATCCCCTCTTCCCTCTCCCCTCCTCCACTAGGTCTCAGTTCCTCTGTTTCTGTGTCTCTCTCTCCGCCCCCAGCTCCTCCCTGTTCCTCCTCTCTTCTCCCCTCCTCTTCCTCTCCGGCTCCCCTCCCCCAGCCTCCCTCCCTCGCTCCCCCCCCTTCTCCCTCCTCCCTCCTCCCTCTCTCTCACACACACCCCCGCTTGGGCCTCCTCTCTCTCTCCGGCTCCATTTTCTCCGCCGCCGGGGGCCGGGGTCTCCTGTGGGGGGCCCAGCCGGTATCCCAGGTCTCCCTTCAGTGCCGGGGTGAACCCCCGGGGGAGCCGGGAGCCGGGGGCAGACGGGCGGGGGTTGGGGCGGAGGGAGCAGCGGCCCCAGCGAGTTTGGGGGGAGAAGTAACCAGGCGGGGGGAGGGGCGGAGCAGGGAGGGGGCCTCAGGGCCCCCCCCCAGCTATGGACGAACGGCTACTGGGGCCGCCCCCTCCAGGCGGGGGCCGGGGGGGCCTGGGATTGGTGAGTGGGGAGCCTGGGGGCCCTGGCGAGCCTCCCGGTGGCGGAGACCCCGGTGGGGGTAGCGGGGGGGTCCCGGGAGGCCGAGGGAAGCAAGACATCGGGGACATTCTGCAGCAGATAATGACCATCACCGACCAGAGCCTGGACGAGGCCCAGGCCAAGTGAGTGCCCCCACTCCGGGACCCCACACAGACCCAGCAAACCCCGTTCACATGTTCTGAATCTTCTGGGAGCCCCCCCCAACTCCAGGGCCCTCTCCAGGATCCAATAGCTCTCTTCTCTCCTTATTCCTGGGAGCCCATAGAAAAGTGATCCCTCTCAAACCTCCCTTCACCCCCAGGCCCTGAAACCTTCACAGAGGGAACCCCCGGTGGCCCGGCTCCCCACTCCTAACCTTTTGCCGACCCCTGCAGTCTCCTGGAACAGCCCCATCCCCGGGAGCCCCCTCTGGCTCCCAGACTAAGAAACTGTTCTTGGGCTACGTTATCTTCTCCCCTAACTCTCCACCCAGCCCCCTCATTCTCTCCAGATGTGGAGACCTCCACACCCTCTCCAGAGCCCCTAAAGCTCCTCTCCACTGCTCAGCCAGACACTAGGTGCATCAAAGCCTCCCACCTGCTCAGCCCCAGGACCCCTTCACACACCCTACACTGATCTCCCCAGTTAGCTCGGCACCCCCAGCCCCACTCTGCCACCTCAAACTCTGACTCTTCTCAACCCCAGCCTCTGTCTCTCTCCCTCTGAAACCTACCAAGTCACTTTCCTTTCTCCATCCACTCCCAGATTCCTCCTCCTACCTTTCTAGACCATCTCCCAAAGCCCGCAGCCTTTAACCTGCTGCCTGCATCTTCCCTGTGTCTCCCTGAAGCTGAGGAGCTTCCCCATGCTCTGGGAGCTGATCTTTTCCCAAGAACTCCTCATTCCACCCCCAACTCATTCCACCCCCAATCCGCTTCCTCCCTCCGCAGACTGACCCTCCTCCCTCCTTGTTCTCAGGCCCCCTGCTCTGTTTCTCTAGCTCCTCAACTTTTCTCTTTCCCCACTCCCACTCCTCCCAAGGAAACACGCCCTAAACTGCCACCGAATGAAGCCTGCTCTCTTTAGCGTCCTGTGTGAAATCAAGGAGAAAACTGGTATGTGGGCGCCCCCCGGATTGCTCAACTCTGGGAACAGAACCCTGTTCATTATAGGGCTAGAGTGTGACAACTTGGGGCCCTGAGGAAAGTAAGGAGTCAGGGGGACTGGGGAAGGAACCAAAGCCTGGGAACTTGGCTCTCCAGGAAGCACCAGGAGGACTGAGCACTGGGTATTGGGGTCTCTGGGTCCCTAAGTCCACTCGCCTGCATGCTAGGCCTCAGCATTCGGAGCTCCCAGGAGGAGGAGCCGGTGGACCCACAGCTGATGCGCTTGGACAACATGCTTCTGGCAGAGGGTGTGGCTGGGCCCGAGAAAGGGGGCGGCTCAGCAGCAGCAGCTGCAGCCGCTGCAGCCTCTGGTGGTGGTGTGTCCCCTGACAACTCCATCGAACACTCGGACTATCGCAGCAAACTTGCCCAGATCCGTCACATATACCACTCGGAGCTGGAGAAGTATGAGCAGGTAAGGAGAGGAGGCTTGGGTGGGTGGAGGGAAGGGCTCTTGCAGGGGAATCCCATGGTCAAAGGGCTCCTCCTCACCAGCCCACTGGCCCCCACTACAGGCATGTAATGAGTTCACGACCCATGTCATGAACCTGCTGAGGGAGCAGAGCCGCACCAGGCCCGTGGCCCCCAAAGAGATGGAACGCATGGTGAGCATCATCCATCGAAAGTTCAGCGCCATCCAGATGCAGCTGAAGCAGAGCACCTGCGAGGCTGTGATGATCCTGCGCTCCCGTTTCCTGGATGCCAGGTGGGCCCAGGGACCCCAGGCTGGCCCCCAGCACTGGGCTCCTTCCCATTCCTCTCCAAGACCCTGAGCTGCCATGCTGCACAACATGGTACTCCATGACAATGGTGACTCTGGGGTCATGCCATGTGACAGCCCTGCCAGGACATCAACATCCTCCTCACCGCTCTTCTCCCTCCTCTGTAGACGAAAGCGCCGTAACTTCAGCAAACAGGCCACTGAGGTCCTAAATGAGTATTTCTACTCCCACCTGAGTAACCCATATCCTAGTGAGGAGGCCAAGGAGGAGCTTGCCAAGAAGTGTGGCATCACCGTGTCTCAGGTATTATGGAGGTTGCGGGAGGAGTTGTCAGGCAAAGTGCACGCATCTCAGCTAGGTGCAGTGGTGTGTTCCTGTAATCCCAGCTACTAGGGAGGCTGAAGTGGGAGGATCACTTGAATTGGAGACCAGCCTGGGCAACAGCATAGTGAGACCAGGAAGCAAAAAAAAAAAAAATGCTGTCACTCACATCTTATTCAGTGAAGGACTTCAGAGGCAAATGTTTCTACCTGACCCTCCTTTCTGCCCCACAGGTCTCCAACTGGTTTGGCAACAAGAGGATTCGCTATAAGAAAAACATCGGAAAGTTCCAAGAGGAGGCAAACATCTATGCTGTCAAGACCGCCGTGTCAGTCACCCAGGGGGGCCACAGCCGCACCAGCTCCCCGACACCCCCTTCCTCTGCAGGTGGATCCCACTGTCACCCCGGCTGACTGTTTTGCACACTTCCTGCTTTTGTTCCCACTTCCTATCTAGGCAGGATCATAGCAGAGAGGGGGCCTTTTGGGGTGAGAGGGACCGAGCTGAGATAGGCTGGAGATGTCAGGGGACAGAGGCCATTCCAGTGATCTTAGTTCTGCCTTTCTTCCCACGGGTGGCCAAGGAACAGCCTGCTCTTTCTGTGTGTTGGAATGTTATTTTGTGGATAATTGGAGTATAGTAGCATGTCCCCACAAGAGTTGAGAGTTGTGGTTCATCCTCTACCATCACGGGCCCTATTACACTCTTCCCTCTCTGCCCCCACAAGGCTCTGGCGGCTCTTTCAATCTCTCAGGATCTGGAGACATGTTTCTGGGGATGCCTGGGCTCAACGGAGATTCCTATTCTGCTTCCCAGGTCAGATGCCCATCTCCTCTCGAATAGGGCTTTCCCCAACTCCATTTCCTCTACTTTAGGATACAAGACCTCTTTCCTCTGAGGCTTCTCTTCACTGTCATACCTTCCTCTGCTGCCTGCAGGTGGAATCACTCCGACACTCGATGGGGCCAGGGGGCTATGGGGATAACCTCGGGGGAGGCCAGATGTACAGCCCACGGGAAATGAGGGTGAGTGGATCCTGAAGCTCCTCTCTGTCCAGTTCTCACAGGACAGAGGGGCATTTTCCCTAGTAATGTTGTGCCCACACAGGGTTCCCAGGGCTTTCTCTGTTTTCTGTACTCTGTCTCTCCTTTCAGGCAAATGGCAGCTGGCAAGAGGCTGTGACCCCCTCTTCAGTGACATCCCCAACGGAGGGACCAGGGAGTGTTCACTCTGATACCTCCAACTGATCTTGCCCCTCAGGGTCACAGGGGTGGGGGCTCTCACAAGGCGACTTGAAGAGGACGCAGGCTTCCAGAGGACAAACCCCAATACAGGAGAAGCACAAGACAGAGAAGGGCCAATGGGGTCATCCCCTCCCTAACGAGACTCTCTGTGCTGGGGGTGCTAATTACATGGCAGGAAGAATGGGGCCTCTAAGGGGAGTGTGGGGTCTGTCTCTCCCTTTTTTCCATCTTTTTCCTCTCTCGCTTTCTTTCTTACACAGAAACATACACATACCGAGAAACCTATTTCTCAGACCCCTTTTTCTCCTCTGTCTTTCTCTCTCCCTCTCCCACACCTCACACACACATACTCCCACTTGCAACTATTCTGTTTCTCTCCTGGGCTCCCCCACTTTCCCTTCCCCACCCCACTTGTATGCTCTGGAATCTGTGGAGACGCCAGCCCTGCCCAATCAGAGATGCCAAAAATGGGGACATGACTTCTGGACAGAGGACATGGGCCACGCCCCCATGCATCCCCACCCCCGCCCCTCCGGACGGCTTACTTACCTCATACGCAGCTCATCTTAAACCAATAGAATCGCTCGGTGGACGAGAGTGTCTGACTCAGATATCTACCTCGGAGGGAGTTTCTGCTACTTTAGGGAATTATTGACTGGGCTTTGGGGTTGAACTTTTTTTTTTTTAAAGAAAGAAAAAGAAACCCTGGGATCCATCTGTTTTTTTTGTTGTTGTTGTTGTTTTTGTTGTTGGTGGTGGTGGTGGTGGTGGTGGTTCTTAATTTTTAATTTAGTTTGGGGAAGTAGCTTGTTTTTTTTTTTATAAATATGTTGATTTCTTGTCTTTTTTTTTTATTTCTTACTTTCCCATATTAGGGGTGATAGCCAAAGGGGTTCTGGTAAGAGAAAGGGGGACAAACAGAACTGGTAAAGAGGCCCCCCTGGCTCCAGGCCTGTCCATCAGGAAGTAAATTTTACAGGGCACCAAGCTTTGCCCCCTAAAATCCCTTAGGTGTTCTTTGTTCATGCAGGCAGGTTTCTGCCGCATTTGATGTGGAGGCAGTGAAGGGCTTGCCCTGCTGGCCTCTCATCCCCCTTCTTCCCACAACCCTTGGGCAGGGCTGGACTCAGTAATTTTGAGGAAATTGAAGATGCCATCTTCCCCTGTGAGTGACATGTCTTTAATTTTTTAAAAAACTACTATTTGAAAATTGGAGGGGGAAGAATGGGAAGGGAGTTATTGCCAAATATGTTAAATATGGGTTGGGGTGCTTGTATATGTATCTTCCTCAATTTCCCCATAAATGAGGTATCTTTTTGTCACACCAAAATCAAGGGGTAGGGAGAGGGAGGAGGTTGCAAAAAGCCAGATGTGGGGGAAAAGTAACATCAACACTGTCCCATCCTCAGCCCTGAACTAGCTACCATCTGATCCCCTCAGACATTCTCAGGATTTTACAAGACTGTCAGAGTGGGGAACCCCTCCCATTAAAGATCCGGGCAGGACTGGGGACAGGTTGGAAGTGTGATGGGTGGGGGGGTGGGAGGCATGGGCCGGGGGCAGTTCTCTCCTCACTTGTAAACTTGTGTAGTTTCACAGAAAAAAAACAAAATGCAGTTTTAAATAAAGAAATTTCTTTTTTCCCTGGGTTTAGTTGAGAATTTTTTTCAAAAAACATGAGAAACCCCAGAAAAAAAATGATTTTCTTTCACGAAGTTCCAAACAGGTTTCTCTCCTGTTCCCCAGCCTTGCCTTCATGATGCAGGCCCAATTGCACCCTTGCAGACAACAGTCTGGCCTGAACCCTATTGATGCAACTTTGCGCAATCAAGATGGGGCTCCAGTGGGTCACCAGGCAGCCCTGATGGACTGATGGAATAAATAGGATCGGGGGCTCTGAGGGAATGAGACCCTAGAGGGTACACTCCCCATCCCCCAGGGAAGTGACTGTACCCAGAGGCTGGTAGTACCCAGGGGTGGGGTGATAATTATTTCTCTAGTACCTGAAGGACTCTTGTCCCAAAGGCATGAATTCCTAGCATTCCCTGTGACAAGACGACTGAAAGATGGGGGCTGGAGAGAGGGTGCAGGCCCCACCTAGGGCGGAGGCCACAGCAGGGAGAGGGGCAGACAGAGCCAGGACCCTGGAAGGAAGCAGGATGGCAGCCGGAACAGCAGTTGGAGCCTGGGTGCTGGTCCTCAGTCTGTGGGGTGAGCCACTCCCTCAACCCCACTGACCCTCCCTGCAGAAAGCACTTTAACCCCACACCCCAGTCGTCCTAGAACTTTTCCCAGAACCCGAGGAAGTGCCTTTCAAGGTCCCTCACCCACCCTGTCCAAATTTTGTTAGCCCTCATTCCCTTCCTACCCCTCTACCATGGTGCTATCTCCCAGGGGCAGTAGTAGGTGCTCAAAACATCACAGCCCGGATTGGCGAGCCACTGGTGCTGAAGTGTAAGGGGGCCCCCAAGAAACCACCCCAGCGGCTGGAATGGAAACTGGTAAGCGGGGCTCCTGTTGCAGCCTCCCAACTTCCAGGGAGACCAGCAATGATTTGGATCCCCGTCACTCTGCCTCACAGTCCTTTCCCAAAGGCCTTGCACTGTTTAGGCCCTGCTTCTCTGCTTCTAGAACACAGGCCGGACAGAAGCTTGGAAGGTCCTGTCTCCCCAGGGAGGAGGCCCCTGGGACAGTGTGGCTCGTGTCCTTCCCAACAGCTCCCTCTTCCTTCCGGCTGTCGGGATCCAGGATGAGGGGATTTTCCGGTGCCAGGCAATGAACAGGAATGGAAAGGAGACCAAGTCCAACTACCGAGTCCGTGTCTACCGTAAGAATTCCAGGGTCTTCTCCAAGGCCTCCCTCTTACCTAAGAAAAAGCCTTCAACCCCAGCCTTGGCCCATGAGGGCCTCTGACTTCCACTGGCCTCATTTCCACACACAGAGTTTGAGAACCTTCACAATTACAGCCTCTGACTGGATTTTTCCTCCTTCAGAGATTCCTGGGAAGCCAGAAATTGTAGATTCTGCCTCTGAACTCACGGCTGGTGTTCCCAATAAGGTAGTGGAAGAAAGCAGGAGAAGTAGAAAACGGCCCTGTGAACAGGAGGCGAGTGTGTGTGGGTGTGGGTGTGTGGCATCTCTCATTTTCAAAGGATTCTGAGGTCACCACTCTTTCCCCAGGTGGGGACATGTGTGTCAGAGGGAAGCTACCCTGCAGGGACTCTTAGCTGGCACTTGGATGGGAAGCCCCTGGTGCCTAATGAGAAGGGTGAGTCCTAAGGTGCCCCCCAAGCTGCCTTCTCCCTGATCTCACTCCCACACCCACCCTGGGATAATTTGTCTTATCCTCCCATCATAGGAGTATCTGTGAAGGAACAGACCAGGAGACACCCTGAGACAGGGCTCTTCACACTGCAGTCGGAGCTAATGGTGACCCCAGCCCGGGGAGGAGATCCCCGTCCCACCTTCTCCTGTAGCTTCAGCCCAGGCCTTCCCCGACACCGGGCCTTGCGCACAGCCCCCATCCAGCCCCGTGTCTGGGGTGAGCATAGGTGGGGAGGGCCCCAAGCTCACGTGAGCACGTTCTGGAAGTCTGACCCTTAGGGAAAGAGGGAGTCAAGCCCATGGCCACTGGGATCACTCACAAGTGTAACTCTCCACCTCAAAACCCTTCCAACTCCCAGAGCCTGTGCCTCTGGAGGAGGTCCAATTGGTGGTGGAGCCAGAAGGTGGAGCAGTAGCTCCTGGTGGAACCGTAACCCTGACCTGTGAAGTCCCTGCCCAGCCCTCTCCTCAAATCCACTGGATGAAGGATGTGAGTGACCTGGAGAGAGGGGCTGGGAGGTAGGGTGAACCATAACTAGCAACAGGGAGGGCAGAGGGCTAACGAGGGAAAGGCAGGCTAGGAGCTGAGGAGGAAGAGAGGGTATCTGAAGATATGGAGACAAAAAGACAAGGGTTTTGAAATAGTCTCCTCTCCCCTTCCCCCACCAGGGTGTGCCCTTGCCCCTTCCCCCCAGCCCTGTGCTGATCCTCCCTGAGATAGGGCCTCAGGACCAGGGAACCTACAGCTGTGTGGCCACCCATTCCAGCCACGGGCCCCAGGAAAGCCGTGCTGTCAGCATCAGCATCATCGGTGAGACCTCTCCCCAAGCCCTACAGACCCTGGGACTAGGGTGCAGGACAGCACAGGCTCTAATTTCCTGCCCCATTCTGGCCTTATCCCTAACAGCCACCCCACCTCTCCCTCCATGCACCCACACCCAAGCCTCCCCTGCCCCACCCAAATTCTGCCAAGAGAGCAGCCAAGCCTCTCCCTTCTTCCCTCTGAGCTAAAAAAAGGAACAGACGGCTGGGCACGGTGGCTCACGCCTGTAATCCCAACACTTTGGGAGGCTGAGGCGGGCAGATCACCTGAGGTAGGGAGTTCGAGACCAGCCTGACCAACATGGAGAAACCCCATTTCTACTAAAAATACAAAATTAGCCAGGCATGGTGGCACATGCCTGTAATCCCAGCTACCTGGGAGGCCAGCTACTTGAGAGGCTGAGGCAGGAGAATTGCTTGAACCCAGGAGGCATAGATTGCGATGAGCCAAGATCGCACCATTGCATGCCAGCCTGGGCAACAAAAGTGAAACTCCATCTCAAAAAAAAAAAGAAAGGGAAAGACTCCACTGGGGCTCCCACTAAATAACCCTCTCTCAACCCGAAGTCTTCCTTTCTGACTGGATCCAACTTTGTCTTCCAGAACCAGGCGAGGAGGGGCCAACTGCAGGTGAGGGGTTTGATAAAGTCAGGGAAGCAGAAGATAGCCCCCAACACATGTGACTGGGGGGATGGTCAACAAGAAAGGAATGGTGAGTGGTGGTGGCTGTGCTCTCAATTTTCCCTGTCTCCGTACAGGCTCTGTGGGAGGATCAGGGCTGGGAACTCTAGCCCTGGCCCTGGGGATCCTGGGAGGCCTGGGGACAGCCGCCCTGCTCATTGGGGTCATCTTGTGGCAAAGGCGGCAACGCCGAGGAGAGGAGAGGTGAGTGGAGAAAGCCAGACCCCTCAGACCTAGGGCTTCCAGGCAGCAAGCGAAGAGGGGTCGGGGGGTGGAACGACAACGTGCCGCATTCCCCCCAATCTTTCTCCTCAGGAAGGCCCCAGAAAACCAGGAGGAAGAGGAGGAGCGTGCAGAACTGAATCAGTCGGAGGAACCTGAGGCAGGCGAGAGTAGTACTGGAGGGCCTTGAGGGGCCCACAGACAGATCCCATCCATCAGCTCCCTTTTCTTTTTCCCTTGAACTGTTCTGGCCTCAGACCAACTCTCTCCTGTATAATCTCTCTCCTGTATAACCCCACCTTGCCAAGCTTTCTTCTACAACCAGAGCCCCCCACAATGATGATTAAACACCTGACACATCTTGCTCTTGTGTGTCTGTGTGTGTGTATGAGACACAACCTCACCCCTATACCCTTGAGGGCCCTGAAGGAAAGGGACTCACCCCCATACTTCACCATACTATACCAAACATCTACTCAAGTTGGGGAGAAGATGCTTCTGTCGGGGGTGGGGGCGAACTTGGGAAGAGATCCCATCAATATATTTCACCTTTTTTATTGAATTTGTATTAAAGGAGGTAGTGAGGGGGCGGAAGCACTTAAGAGTCAGAATCCATATTAGACTCTGGGGAGTGAAAAATTAAATTAAATCAGTAAGATGGGGAGTGGGGGAAGAGTCAGAGGGAACTTTGCCCACCTTTGAAGATCAAATCAAGAAATCAGGGAAAGCAAAGACTTAGGAGAGGAGAAAGACATTCTCTCAATCCATCCTCCTTCCCCAGGGCAGAGAATTAAACAACGTTACTGAGTGAGCCTCTGAGCAGAAGGCTCTCCCATCTATGCACAGACTTCACTCCTCCTCCCCAGGCCTTCCTGGACAATGTCCAGGGCTGGCCTTAGCCAACAGAAATAGAGGGGTCAAGGGGGTCCAGGAGTACGGAAGGGTCAGCAGGGACCCTCAATACTGATTCTTCTCTGGCTGGAGGTGGGCAGGAAGCAGACATAGCTCAAATACTGAGCAGCCAAAAAAAGAAGAAGATGGCGAGAAACAGGAAGAGGGAATCCTGCCAGCTGGAGGCTGGGTGACCCTGTCCCAGATCCACACCTGTGGGAGAGAGGAAAGCTGTGGAAGCATATGCTCCTAGGCTGGGAGGGGGCCTGAGGGGATTCACAGGGCTCCCTGATGGGAGCTGAGTGTGACTCTTACCTGTACCCCGGCGGAAAGGCTCATGGGCATTGAAGACGGTGGTGAAAAAGCCAAAGGGAAAAGCACCAACACCAAATGAGAAGTGGAAGCCCCCGGTATCACCAAATGGCTGGAATCCCTAGGGAGGCAGAAAAAGTCAGACGGGAAGCCGGCAAATCTGTCAAGGAAGGGACACAACTGGACAAGAAGACTCACCCCTCTGCTCTCCGGAGCTGGTCTCTGGCCCTGGGGGCGGGGTGGAGTTTTTAATCTGAGGAAGTGGAGAGAGAAAGTTAACAGGGATTTTTCTCCTCCCATCTTCCACACCGTTTTCCAAGGGCAGAAGCCTTCAATCTTCCCTAAGCAACACCTCCAGTCTCTCACCTGGGATCCTGGGGCTTCTGGCTCCCTCGCCCATAAAGCGGGACAACCTTCTCTCTGCTGATCCCAGCTTTACATACTGGACACTCTTGCCGTTCTGGCCGTGTCTCCAGCCACTGGGGAGAAAAAAGGTGGTTTCCAGTATACAAGAGGGTCTTACAGCTCCTCAGACCTCCCCATTTCCCTCTTCATCTCCTGAGTACGCACCTGATGAAGACATGGCCAACTGGATGGGGGAGAAAAAAAAAAAAAGGTCAAACTAGCTACAGAAAAGAGAGACACAGACCCTAGACTTCGCAGAATCCCATCTAACCCCTCTTCCCAAGCAACCTGCTGTTGCTTTTCAGATTTTCTGCAACCTCTACCATGCCAGCCAACTTAGTTAGGCTTCCTGCTTGTCTGATCTTCCAACACCTAAAGCTCTGTCCATCCTCAACACACTCAACCCTCTCCTTTCTCCTCTCCCCAACAAACACATACAAATTTTCGTGCCCTCTTTTCTGCCTTTCAAGTTAATTTCTAATTTCCTTCAGCCACCTCTTTCTGGGTCTCCTCTTTTCAACCCCAACCCCATCACTCCAAACCAAACCCCTTTACTAGCACATTCCCCCATTACTCACTTTCAAGCTCAATAATGTCCCTATCTTTATGACCCTTTAACCTTTCAAGTCTGCCTCTCCACAGTGCCCTTATACCAGCCCCCTCCCAGATCTCATCTGAATGTGATCCATATTTCCTGGTTCTCCCCGACTCAACTGATGCGTGCCTCCCTTAACCTTTGTGTCTCACTTGTTTCCACCTGCACAGCTAAGACCCCTCACTTCTCTGGGGTAAGGTGGCTCGGGTCTCACATTGTCCTGCCACTCCCCGCCCCACCTTCTCTTCTCAGCACATCACGTGCCTCAGCTCCTGGTTCCTAAGACCTTTCTTTCCACAGATCTCGACCGTTATACTCCCACCCACACATACCAGCAAAGTCTTATGTCTCCTGTCGGGCTTCACCTATGGGAACGTGCCCTCCGATTATCTGTATGACTGTATGATTATTCGCTCCTAGCCTCTCCAGTATATAAGCGAGACCCACCACCTCCCGCCCCCCTCCTCGATTCTCACCAGTACAGGTGGCCACACACACTGACCACAGCTTCCCGAGCAGTCTCCAAACATATATTACATTCGAAGGTCGCGCCCGCCCCGCCCCGCTCGCGATTTGGCCCTTCGGGGCCCCCGTCCTCCTCCTCCGCTGCTGCCATGGCCGGTTTTGTTTCGCCCCACGTACCCTTCAGTCCCCCCAAATACACATACACACGCCCCAACAAACCAGAAACCACCTCCTGCCCACGATCGTTGGGCAGGCTTCAAGGTTTCCTAATCACTATTGGTCTGAATGCCTGCCAGTCACAAAGAATTCAAAAGAAAGGATTGGCCCAAAGGGTAGGGGCGGGAAAAGGTTAGTGCAGTCCTGCCTTCGCACAATGGCTATTGGCTGATACGGTCTAAGTCAATGTGCAATGCCAAGGGATTGGTAATAACTCGCTACACGCTGTCGCCTGGCCAAGGAGGGCTTTATTCGTCTGAGTAGTTGTCAGTCATAACCAAAGCCATAAGCAATTTGCTCGGGACTACCTATAGACCTCGCCCACTATAAGCCCCTTTCTTTCCTTCGCTTCCTCTTTTAGAGAATGTCCGGATTGCTATTGGACTTTGGAGCGTATGGCTCCAAATCAACTCATTGGCTAAAACTTGACGGAAAATGGTGGTTAGGTAAAACGCGCCTGCGCAGCACGCGGCGGGACGGGGGTGGGCCAATCCTGTGAGGGTTTAACCTTCTCTTGTTCCACCTCTTCACCCCTATCTTGTCGCCATGGTGACTGCTCTACAATTGGCGAGGCTTGCACTTCAAAGTCCTAGGCTCGCTTCATCCGGGTCCTTCAGCTGTGGACTTTCTGCTGATTGGGCCTTTTCCTTTTCCCCTGATTGGCCGACATCGGGAAAGACGGCGAAGAGCTAGGAAAAGAGGGAAAACACTAGGGTCGCAGGGTTCAAAATGGCTCCAACCTCCTTTGGTGACGTAGAGAGCAGAACTTGGGTCTGCCCCTCCCTTTTAGTTAAGGGAGCAGAACTGGGATTAGCCCGACGTTTGGATAGTGGGAACATCGATCTGCGGCGCTGGTGTTAACCCAACTCATTCGGCTGGACGACTCAGCCCTCCCCATATTAGGTGATTTACAGAGCAAAACTGAACTAAAGGCCCACCCCTTTCTTAATGTTGTACACAGAGTAGAACAGGATTGACTTCAACTCCGTTTTAAACCTTCAGAGCAGGAAAGCTCTGGGCTCAACCCCTTTGTGAGTGGTGCAAAAGGGACAAAGCCCGCCCCTTTTAAGGAGACCCGCGGAGGCTAGACCCGCCCTTTCCTCTTTATAATTTGCCCATCAGAAATAGGGTCTTCTTCCCAGGTTGGACCCCGGGGAGTTTGGGCTTTTCCTACAATCACTGACCCTCACTGTGACTAAAGGAGCAGAATTAGGTAACAGTCCTCCCACTACCAATCCTCTTCCCGAGGGCATGTAAACTAATGCAGGGTAAAGGTGTGGCTAGAGGGGGGACCTTGATAAAAGATCCCATGTGACTCAAGAGTAAGGAAAGATGAGAAGTTAGCAGTTGCGTAAAGAAGGACTGGGGCAGATGAGGATTCAGGAAGCTTGAGGTTTAGGAAGGAAGATATTGAGAGGGAAAGGTGGAAATGAAGGAGAGTGAAGTGATGGAATGATCCTAGTAAAGGGATAATGGGAGTGGAGGAAGAGAAGAGGGGGTGGAAAACTAGATACATGGCTACCAAATTAAGGAGGCACGCGCATTCCAGAGGAATCGGCATTCTTCCTCACTTTTTATTTTTCTAGAAAGCACCCCTGAAGCCAAATTTCCATTGGAAGAAAAGATGTACCCATATTGTATGTTGTGAGAAGGGGTTGTCTCAGCTTGGGCAAGTAAGGAGACTGATACGAAGGAAGTAGGAAAGAAAAGGTACAGAGGTAAAAGAGCATGGAAAAGGAAAGGGTCAGGGATAAGGCCAAAGAGATCTCTTCTCTTTAAAGGCCAGAGAAGGCAGGTGGAGGGGGGAGCTGGACTGCTGGGAGATAGTGAGGGACAAAGGGCAAAGGAAACCAGACCAGAGGACTGGAGAGTGAGATGGAGTGAGATGGAGTCCTGGAGAGAAAAAGAAGAGAGGTGAACTTAATGCTTGTCATATGGTAGGTAGATGCTTGATAAATGTTTAGAATTGAATGGGTACGGGAAAAGGGGTCCTTAAGAATAGTTGGGGGGAATAAGCAGCAGATAACCGGAGTTGAGAAAAAAAGAGACCAAGTAAAAGTGGCAGTTAAAAGAGAGCTGATGGAGAATAAAGGAAGGAATGTGCGGAAGGAGGAATACAGCACCAGGGGATCCAGAGCTGAAAGGGAGTTAGAGAAAAAAAAGATGCAGCTGGAGCCAGAGATGGGGGCAAAGACCGAGGGAGAGCCCTGGGGCGGGGCTCGCAAGAGGACACTGGTAGATGTGGGGAGGAGATGCCAGAGTTTCTGGGAGACGATTGGCAAAACAGGCTGCCCATCACCGCCCTCCACTTCCTGGCCGGCCCCGGAAACCAGCAGGCGTTGGGGAGGGGTGGCGGGGGAATAGCGGCGGCAGCAGCCCCAGCCCTCAGAGAGACAGCAGAAAGGGAGGGAGGGAGGGTGCTGGGGGGACAGCCCCCCACCATTCCTACCGCTATGGGCCCAACCTCCCACTCCCACCTCCCCTCCATCGGCCGGGGCTAGGACACCCCCAAATCCCGTCGCCCCCTTGGCACCGACACCCCGACAGAGACAGAGACACAGCCATCCGCCACCACCGCTGCCGCAGCCTGGCTGGGGAGGGGGCCAGCCCCCCAGGCCCCCTACCCCTCTGAGGTGTGGGCGGGAAAGGGATGGGAGGAGGAGGGAAGAGGGTGCTGAAAGCGACTAGGATGAGGGGAAGGGGAGAGATTGGGTCTGGGAGGGCCGACTGGGGGAGAGGGTTGCTGGGGAAAGGAGAGGGGCCGACTGGGAAGAGGGTTGCTGGGGATAGGAGAGGGGACCTGAGAGGGAGGAAGGATGGAAGAGACCTGGGAGGGAGGAGAAATGGAAACCCTTGTGAATTTGGGACTGGGAGCGTGCACAGGGAATCCTGGAGAGGGAATTCCCTACACCTTCCCCAATTCCTTTTCTTGCCCTTTGACCCCACATGACTCTTGAAGGGTCATGAGGGGAGAAGGCCAGCAGAATTTGCCTCTTAGGAATACCCTTAGGTGCCTCTGTTTCCATCTAGGCACAGGACCTCTTGTTTCTCAGTGGCCTTCCACACTGCTAGACCCTTACTGACACACAAATGCCTTATGGGAGCCATGTTTTCTACATTGAGTCTGTGTGCCTTTGACATGTTTAATGGCTTGTGTGCAACTAGGTTGTCCCAATGCTATCCATAGGCTGTGTAGAAATGGTGTGTTATTTTCTATCAGAATTGCCCATTCTTCATTCTTGTGTCCATGTCTCACATCCAGTTTTGACATGTTTTAAGTACCGCATGTGTGTGAGTTTTCATATATTGCACCTGTTCTATAATTTCATGTTACTTGCACATTTTATGTTTTGGCATGTTTATTTCAGCATGTGAAGGTTATATACCTTATTTTGCTTTGGCTGACATGTCCATGGTCCTACCATTTGCAGTAGTCTTCATGTGTGGGATCCCATGGCTTGGCTGAATACCCCACACTCTGATGTCTGACTGAATTGGCCTGTTTGCTGTGTTTTCCCAGTCACAGTTCACAGAACACATGTGTATGCGCCTTTGCATGATACACTGATGTAACAGGACCATAGAATGTGTGTTATAAATTTGTCATCAGTATATTTTGTGAGCCGTATGCTCATTAAATTTGGCCCTCCATTGCATTTCTAAATCCTTGGACTTTTGTTCTCCAAAGAGGGTCACTTAATATCAAGTGTTAAGAGAAGAAGGTAACTGGGTCTCCAGGTCTGCAAAGAACCATCCCTGCATGCCTTACCTTGGTGACCTCCCTGGCCCATACCTCTCTACACAAACATTATCTTTCCAGTGGCTGTGTACAGTCTGTGTCCATGAGCTCAATGCATGTCACAGGGTCAATCCTGCTGTGAACCCCATTGTTGGTATTTATTTATGGACATTATCCTCCATTCTTTGCACTGTTGGCACACATTTGATGAGAGCAGCATCTTTCCCTGTGGCATCTTGATCCCATTCGGTACATTTCTCTTGTGAGATGACCTCTTCCTGATTATTGTTACTCTGCCTTCATTATGGCTATGTATTGCATGTATCTATTCAGAGTCGGTTACCATTAGGCTTGGTGTGTTCGTTACTTTCTCAGTGACTTCTTTTAGTAGTCACTTCTACTCAAGAGGATAACTATCTAATTTGTGATCAGAACCGCCATCTCTGTCATTAACTGTGGCTCTATGGGTGGGTATACAGCCTTAGAATCTGTTCAGCAAGTGTTTATTGAGCACCTACTCCATCTCCTATTGTCCTGGCACTGGAGATAAGACAGAGTCCCTGTCCTTAAGCTGCTTACAGCCTAAGGAGGGAAACAAAAACGCCAGTCAACACATAGTGTGTTGTCAAGATCAGTGGTTCTTAAATTCAGGCGCACATCAGACTCACCAGAGGGCTTGTTGAAATACAGATTGCTAGCCAGCCACGATGGCTCACACCTGTAATCCCAACAGTTTGGAAGGCTGAGGCAGGAGGATCGCGTGAGTCCAGGAGTTCAAAACCAGCCTGAGTGACAGAGTGAGAAAAAGAAAAACAGATTGCTGGACCTAATGCCCAGAATTTCTGATTCAGTAGATCTGGGGTGAAGTCTAATAATTTGCATTTCTATACTTCGAGACCCGCTGATCAAGATAAAAGTGTAAGGAAAGCACAGGCCTGGAGGGGTTCAGGCAGCCCTCCAAAAGGTGACACTGAGCTGTGTGAGGCAGGAGAAGAGACAGGCATTCCAGCCAAAGGGAACAGCATGTTCAAGGTGGGGAAGCATGAAAGATCATGGTGTCTGAGGAACTGAAGTGAATCAGTTTGACTGGAACAAAGAGTTTTGTGAGGATGTGGTCGAAGATGTAAGCAGAAGTCAACTTATCAAGAAGAGCCTTTAGGCAAGACAGGGAAATGCTCTGTGTTTCAGAAAAATCTGTGCTAACAGAAAAATCTCTGTGGTTGCTACGTGGAAGATGGATTGGAGGGAGTTGGGAGCCTACTCCACATAGTTCAGGGGAGAAATGATGCTGTTCTGAACTTGTAGGGGCAGTGGGATGGAGCAGCTCAGAAAGCCTACGGTATTCCAACTGGCAGGGTCTCCTGTTTCCTCTATTGCCTGTTACCTTCTCGCTTGGCAATAGGCTTACCTTTGAGCATAGCCCTTCCCATCATGGGAAGACAGTGCCTGTGGCCTCAGTAGGAATGACAGGTATTTGCCTGAACACCCTTTTTGTGAATTGTTACCCTGCCCCCAACACTGGGGCAGAGTGGAGGAAGGAGGAAGAACCTAGAACACAGGTTCTGTGTTCCTGCCTCTCTTCCTCTTGAGCCCTTTCCTCTCCCAGGGCAAGTGCTGTTAGGTCACCTTTACTCCATTCCCTCCTTTTTTCACTTGGTGAGGCCTCACACACTGTACCTGCCCACGCAAAGTGTCACTAGAAGGAAGGGAAAGGGTAGTAGGATTCGTTTGCCTGTCTGGAGGTAGGATTGGTCTTTGTAGCTATTCCAGGTATGTCCATAAGTTTACCTAGGAATAGGGGAGCTGCCTGGGTGGAGAGGGATTTTTCTAGTTATGCATTTACATTCTTTTATCTGTCACTGGGTGTAATTATAAATTTGTGTCTATGTGTGAACATGTTAGTCTTTGTATGACTGTGTGTCTGTTGGCATTAGTGACACGAACTTTTAATCTTGCCATTTGGCCCTTGGGTATATGGCTGTGAGTGTTCTGTCACAATCACCATATATGCTGTGTGCTGTGTTCGTATATATATATGCAATACATACCAGTGTCAGCGTAATGGAGTGGTTAGGAACACAGGCGGCTTAGATTTAACCTAGAAACTGCTGTTTAGGAGCTGTATGACCTCAGGTAAGTTATTTAGCCTCCCTGGGCCTATTTCCTATAAAATGTAAATAGTAATAGTACTTTCTAGACTATCATATGCATCATTTTAAGAGTTTAACTTAATGTATAGACCAGTACTGTTCTACAGAAATATAATGCAAGCCACAATGTAATTTTTTTATGGTAGCCACATTTTTACAAGGCAAAAAGAGTGAAATTAATTTTAGTAATATATTTTCTTGAATCTGATAACATCCAAAAGATTATAATTTCTTTTTTTTTTTTTGGAAATGGAGTCTCACTCCATTGCCCAGGCTAGAGTGCAGTGGCGTGATCTTGGCTCACTGCAACCTCCGCCTCCCGGATTCAAGCGATTCTCCTGCCTCAGCCTCCCGAGTAGCTGGGATTAAAGGCATGCGCCAACAGGCCCGGCTAATTTTTGTATTTTTAGTAGAGACGGGGTTTCACCATGTTGGTCAGGCTGGTCCTGAACTCCTGACCTCGTGATCTGCCCACCTCGGCTTCCCAAAGTGCTGGGATTACAGGCGTGAGCCACTGCGCCCGGCCCAAGATTATAATTTCAAAATGTAGTCAGCATAAAAGATTAGTAATGGATATCTCACATTTTGTTTTTTATTCAGTCTTTGAAATCTGATGTGTATTTTACATTTCCAGCACATCTCAGTTCAGACTAGCTGCATTTCAAGTAGCCACATGTAGGTGGTGGCTACTTTCTCGGACAGCACAAGTATAGACCATTATAAGACCCTTACCAGCTACAAGTGTTAGCTATTATTCTTGTTGTCATTTATTATCAGGTATCTGTGAATTGTAGATGTCTGTGTCTTGTGTCTCTTGTCTGAATATATCCGGAGCCTTTGGGAAGAGTGGTGGGAGAGCAGTCCTGAGCTCTTTCTCCACCACCCTCATCCTAGAGAGCCTTCCTGGGAAGGTTTCAATGAGACCCCTGCCCCAGTTTGTGTCTCAGGCCCTTGTCCTCATAGCACCAGCCCCCAGCCCTGCCTTCTGTGCCTTGCCTACCCCACTCTCCTCCAGAAACCAGGCTGATTGTCCCTTGCCCCATCCCCTGCAGGTGGCCAGAATGGATTTGTGGCCAGGGGCATGGATGCTGCTGCTGCTGCTCTTCCTGCTGCTGCTCTTCCTGCTGCCCACCCTGTGGTTCTGCAGCCCCAGTGCCAAGTACTTCTTCAAGATGGCCTTCTACAATGGCTGGATCCTCTTCCTGGCTGTGCTCGCCATCCCTGTGTGTGCCGTGCGAGGACGCAACGTCGAGAACATGAAGTGAGGGGCAAGGGGTCTTGGGCAATGAGGGAACCTAAGGGTACAAAGTGAGTAGTGGATTGGGGGAAGGGGGCATGGTGTGTGTAGAAAAGACTGAGAGAGACCAGAGACAGGGAATGGGGAGAGGACTGCAAAGGTGGTCAGAAAGACAGTAAGGTGGGGGGAGCTGAGGCATGCAGATGGACATCAATGGATCCCACTGGGACCCCTTGCCATGACCCCACAGGATCTTGCGTCTAATGCTGCTCCACATCAAATACCTGTACGGGATCCGAGTGGAGGTGCGAGGGGCTCACCACTTCCCTCCCTCGCAGCCCTATGTTGTTGTCTCCAACCACCAGAGCTCTCTCGATCTGCTTGGTGAGACCCCACCACAGGGCACACCTCCCCCAGCCATGCCTCCCCTCCTGAAACCTTCCCTAGAATATCTTCTCCTAGAGATCCTCAATTCCCCTTCCTCTGGGACATTGCCCCCTTGCCTCCCACTCAGGCCTTCATTCCCTGGGTAGAACTGCCCTCATAAGCAGGGTACATATACTTTTGGTCACCCTTTCCTTCACTTGGGGCCCCCCTCCCTGCCTAGTCTCCTCCTTCACCTCCAGTCCCTACCAGAGGGTGATGAGCTGGGTGAGGTGGGTTGCCTTCTGTGACACTCTGCCTCCACCCCGATCCTCACCCACTCCCACCCTGCCCAAGGGATGATGGAGGTACTGCCAGGCCGCTGTGTGCCCATTGCCAAGCGCGAGCTACTGTGGGCTGGCTCTGCCGGGCTGGCCTGCTGGCTGGCAGGAGTCATCTTCATCGACCGGAAGCGCACGGGGGATGCCATCAGTGTCATGTCTGAGGTCGCCCAGACCCTGCTCACCCAGGACGTGAGTCATCCTGGGGAAATGGGGGATTGGAGGGATACAGAGTAGAACAGTTGTAAATAAACTGATATGCAGGGCCAGTGGGCCTCAAAGGTCCCATTATAACATCACACCTATTCTGACTCCTCCATATGTATTTGTCTTCTTTGACCCTCTTTCTCCCCCAGGTGAGGGTCTGGGTGTTTCCTGAGGGAACGAGAAACCACAATGGCTCCATGCTGCCCTTCAAACGTGGCGCCTTCCATCTTGCAGTGCAGGCCCAGGTGACTACTGCTCTTCGTTCTGCTACTCAGCTGCCAACCCCCACCATTCCCTCATCTCTGGGCAGGGGCTTATTGTAGGAGTCTCTGAAGAGAGCTGTGGACTGACCTGCTTTAACCCTTCCCCAGGTTCCCATTGTCCCCATAGTCATGTCCTCCTACCAAGACTTCTACTGCAAGAAGGAGCGTCGCTTCACCTCGGGTGAGGGCTTTGAGCAGTTCTGGGGTAGGGTGTGTCCGGAGAGGCTGGGAGGACATCCCTGTGAGGCAGGGGGATCATTCAGTGTCAGAGCCATGAGATGTCTACACAGTCATCTAGTCTAACCCCACATCAGCCAATAAGTCTTTACTAAGCACCCACCATACCCTGCCAGATGGGTAGCACTTGGTCCCACCAAGAGAGGCTGTTACTAATCTTAACAGGAAAGATAAGGCCTGTGTGCACAAAGCTGTAATGAATAACACTCATTCAGCAGTAAATGCCAAACCCAGAGGAGGGGGGCTGGAGGGGTGCTGAGGAGATGTCTGAACTGGGGATTGGAGAAGGCTTTGTATAGGAGAAGGGCCTCAGAAGTGGCAGCTGGCAAGCCCAGGGATGGTTGTCCAGGGTTGGGGGAAGAGAACTGAAAGGTTGAGGAAGAGTATCACTCGGAAGCTGGGCCCCACCTGTGGGCAAAGACCTGGGTGGACAGGCCATGATGGTGCTCCCCTTGCCCCAGGACAATGTCAGGTGCGGGTGCTGCCCCCAGTGCCCACGGAAGGGCTGACACCAGATGACGTCCCAGCTCTGGCTGACAGAGTCCGGCACTCCATGCTCACTGTTTTCCGGGAAATCTCCACTGATGGCCGGGGTGGTGGTGACTATCTGAAGAAGCCTGGGGGCGGTGGGTGAACCCTGGCTCTGAGCTCTCCTCCCATCTGTCCCCATCTTCCTCCCCACACCTACCCACCCAGTGGGCCCTGAAGCAGGGCCAAACCCTCTTCCTTGTCTCCCCTCTCCCCACTTATTCTCCTCTTTGGAATCTTCAACTTCTGAAGTGAATGTGGATACAGCGCCACTCCTGCCCCCTCTTGGCCCCATCCATGGACTCTTGCCTCGGTGCAGTCTCCACTCTTGACCCCCACCTCCTACTGTCTTGTCTGTGGGACAGTTGCCTCCCCCTCATCTCCAGTGACTCAGCCTACACAAGGGAGGGGAACATTCCATCCCCAGTGGAGTCTCTTCCTATGTGGTCTTCTCTACCCCTCTACCCCACATTGGCCAGTGGACTCATCCATTCTTTGGAACAAATCCCCCCCACTCCAAAGTCCATGGATTCAATGGACTCATCCATTTGTGAGGAGGACTTCTCGCCCTCTGGCTGGAAGCTGATACCTGAAGCACTCCCAGGCTCATCCTGGGAGCTTTCCTCAGCACCTTCACCTTCCCTCCCAGTGTAGCCTCCTGTCAGTGGGGGCTGGACCCTTCTAATTCAGAGGTCTCATGCCTGCCCTTGCCCAGATGCCCAGGGTCGTGCACTCTCTGGGATACCAGTTCAGTCTCCACATTTCTGGTTTTCTGTCCCCATAGTACAGTTCTTCAGTGGACATGACCCCACCCAGCCCCCTGCAGCCCTGCTGCACCATCTCACCAGACACAAGGGGAAGAAGCAGACATCAGGTGCTGCACTCACTTCTGCCCCCTGGGGAGTTGGGGAAAGGAACGAACCCTGGCTGGAGGGGATAGGAGGGCTTTTAATTTATTTCTTTTTCTGTTGAGGCTTCCCCCTCTCTGAGCCAGTTTTCATTTCTTCCTGGTGGCATTAGCCACTCCCTGCCTCTCACTCCAGACCTGTTCCCACAACTGGGGAGGTAGGCTGGGAGCAAAAGGAGAGGGTGGGACCCAGTTTTGCGTGGTTGGTTTTTATTAATTATCTGGATAACAGCAAAAAAACTGAAAATAAAGAGAGAGAGAGATCTGGGTGTTGGTGGTTGCATTTGTTAAGGAATTGAAGAAGCAGTTCTTGCCCAGGCAACCTGCCCCCAGCCAGAAGACTCAGGGGCAGGCCAAGAACACAGGCCTCCCCCTTTCTTCAGCTCTCTGAAGTTTCCATTGTTCATTGCTCTTTGGTGGCTGATAGCCTTATCTGCAGCTCACAGTCGGCCAATCCCAGAGGATTAGTGGGTCCGGTTTCTGTATAAATTAGGGGGCAGGGGTGCTGTAGAGGCTTCTTATCGATGATTGACGCCGAGGCCCAGGCTGTTGTCCTCACAGGAGCCTGGTTAATGACATGGCAGACACAGTGGCTGTGGTCAGCCTGGAGTGGACTACACTGCCACTCTCACCAAACAATAAGTGAAACTGTTGGGCTGGGGACAGGATTTCAGAAGAGAACGATGGTAAAGTGGAGAGGCATGAGGATAGTGAATGTTGGAGAGGGGCTTGGAGGAAAGAGGGAATGCCTGAATGGAGAGGGGTCTTGGGGAAAGTTGGGGAATAGAAGTCAAGGCGGGAGGAGTGTGAGGACTCACAGGCACCTAGCCTCTCCTCCAGCAGCAGCACCTGGTCGCTGAGAGATTCGATCCGGTCACCCCGGCCCCACAGCTCAGCCACCTGTTCTGGCTGCAGCTCTTCAGGCGGCACGGGCAGCACCGCTCTGACCCAGGCCCCAGCCTGACCGGCCCACTAGAAAGGAAGAGATGCCTCAGGGTATTGACAGTGACGTCTGGCCTCGCCCCACCCAGCAGGCTTGGCTCACCTGCTCCAGCCGCTCCAGGCGCCCTCGCAGCTCGTGAATCTCCTGCTTCAGAGCGCGCTCATCTTTTTCTGCCTCCCGAACTAGGGACAAAGGAGACCAAGAGTGTGACCACTACCCGAGCCCGGACGCCCGTCCCGAGTCCCTCGGGTGGCCCGTACTCCTGCCCACTCACCGGCCACGCTGAGTATGCTGGCACTGGTTGGGGGCTCTGGGGACCCCTCCATGCAGGTGCGCCCGTCCACGCCTAGCACTAGGTCATGGGGGCAGCCGCAGGTGAAGCTGCCTGCCGTATTAAAACAATGGTGCGAGCAGAGGGTGATGCTGGTCCTACATTCATCCACGTCTAGTTACCGAAAAAAGGAAGGGGCTGAGAGAGGGGGCGGGGGCAAGCACCTGGGTAGGTGGGGAGGACAAGCTGACTCACCCACATGACAGTGCTTCCCTCCCCAGCCGGGGGCGCACTCGCACTGGTCAGGCCTAACGCAGACGCCTCCGTTCAGGCAAGGCTTGGCGCAGATGGCTGAGGACAGAGGAAGTGGGGTTCAGACTCAAACCGACGACCCAGCTCCCCAGCTCCGTGGGGCGCGCCTCCCGCAAGGCCCGGAAGACCCAGCCTCACCTTCACAGGTGAGCGCCCCCGGGTGCCGCTTCTTCCAGCCCTGGCAGCACACTGCATGGGTCTGCTGAACCTCCCGCCTCACCTCCCGCCACATAACGCGGTACATGGTCCTGGAACACAGCGCCCGGCTCAGGACCCTGAGTACGGGTCCTAGTTGGGGTTCTTGGGGTCCCATCTCCCCATCCCTCACCTGTAAGTGCTGCAGATGCGCCTCCCAGCGCACAAGGTCAGGTAGGGCTTGTACACTGGTTGGCTGTAGGACTCGTTGTAGTGGAGCGGGACCACCAGTGTCTGCTTGGAGCAGACTCCCTGACTGCGTCCATGCCAGAGGATGAGGTGGGAGAGATTGAGTAGGCCAGGCCCTGGGGAGCCAGGAGTCCCACTTCCCTCAAGAGGCTACTGAGGCCCCCCGCTCTCCCTCCAGATGACAGCCTCTCACCCCCATTCTAAACTTACAGTTATGTTTTGCCTCCTGTGAAGCCCCACCCCCAGCAGAAGGCTCCTGAGAAGAGCTCACCCCGGGCCCTACCCCCTCTGTTGTCACCTCTCTCTGAGGGATCCACCCTTGGCCCCCTCGCCTGGTATCAGTAGCAGGAGGAAGGAGAATCCGCCTAAGAGAGTGCACAGCTCAGCCCTGGACCCCATGATTCGCTTTGACGCTGGACCCTACAGGCTGCAGGCAAGAAAAGGTTAATGGATGCCCGTCCCCTCTCCTATTAATTTCTCCAGCACTAGTCCCTCCAAGGGCACTCTGCAGGTACCCTCTAAGGGAGTCAGGACATTCACTTTTACATACTAGCCACCAGGATTGCCTACACCTGTGTGTACAACCCAACACTATCCTGTCCTTAGCATATCATGATCCTTTCAGCATCATAAAAGCTCACACCCCAGCACACTCCCTCCACCTCCCCTCTAACCTACTTACTTCTAATCCCCTCTGCACAACCTGGAGGGACACACAGTCAACCCTCCCCTTATGACCCTCCTGTCTTTTTTTGGGTTTTTTTTTGTTTTTGTTTTTGAGAAGGAGTTTCGCTCTTACTACCCAGGCTGGAATGCAATGGCATGTTCTTGCCTCACCGCACGACCTCCGCCCCCCAGGTTCAAGTGATTCTCCTGCCTCAGCCTCCCAAATAGCTGGGATTACAGGCATGCGCCACCACGCCTGGCTAATTTTGTTTTGTTTTGTTTTGTAGGGTGTGAGGGTATATAGCTAGGGTTTTTTTTTTTTGGTTTTTTTGTTGTTGTTGTTTTTTGAGACGGAGTCTCGCTGTCACCCTGGCTGGAGTGCAGTGGTGCGATCTCGGCTTGCTGCAAGCTCCGCCTCCCGGGTTCATGCCATTCTCCTGCCTCAGCCTCCCGAGTAGCTGGGACTACAGGCGCCTGCCACCACGCCCGGCTAATTTTGTTTTGTATTTTTAGTAGAGACGGGGTTTCTCCATGTTGGTCAGGCTGGTCTCGAACTCCCGACTTCAGGTGATCCGCCTGCCTTGGCCTCCCAAAGTGCTGGGATTACAGGTGTGAGCCACCATGCCTGGCCAACCCTCCTGTCTTTAACATGCCCTCTTATAACTTCATACCTTCAAAACCCTAGCTGGTTGGGCGCGGTGGCTCACACCTGTAATCCCAGCACTTTGGGAGGCTGAGGTGGGTGGATCATGAGGTCAGGAGTTCGAGACCAGCCTGGCCAAGATGGTGAAACCCCATCTCTACTAAAAAATACAAAAAATTAGCCAGGCGCAGTGGTGGACGCCTGTAATCCCAGCTACTCGGGAAGCTGAGGCAGGAGAATCCCTTGAACCCTGGAGGCAGAGGTTGCAGTGAACCAAGATCATGCCACTGCACTCTAGCCTGGGCGACAGAGCAAGACTCCGTCTCAAAAAAACAAACAAAACAAACAAACAAAAAAAACCCCTAGCTATATACCTTCACACCGTACACACAAACCAAGCACCTGGAAACTCCACACCTTTCACACACTGCTACTCCCCTCATATACCCACACCGTCACATAACGCCCTAAATGCACATCCCTTGCTCCAACAAAACACCCCGCAACTCATGCCCACCCTAAGGCTCTGAGTAAACCCCACTCTTTCCCCATTTGAAATTCTCTCCCCACTTGCCTTCCTCTCTCTCTCCATTCCCACCTGGCTTCTTTCTCCTGGGAGGCTTCAAGCAGACCAGCCTCAGCAGAAGCAGCTCAGACTGGTGGGTGGGCCTGGCAGGCTAAGAAGGAGAGGAGGGGCTGGGCCAGAGAGTCCTCCCATTCCTGCCCCCTCCCACAAGCCTCCTCCTTAGCTCCAGCAGGGTCAGCTCAGTAGGGTCAAGTCCCACTACCCTCATCCCCACCCCAGCAAAGGGCTCCCTAGAAGTATCTTTCCAACCCTCTGAGGCCCCTATTTCTGGACTCCCCAGATCAGAAGCTATGAGCTCTGTAACACCACCAGTACCCCCTTGAACCCAAAACAGACTAGGGGAGAGTTAGGGGGCAGGGAGAGAACCAGCTGCAGGGAACAAAGCAGTTCAGGTTATGGGAGAAAAAGCAAGATCAGCTGAGGAAAGCTAGAAGGGCAAGTCGTCACAAAGGGGCAGGGGGGCAGCCCAGGGCACCAAGGGGAAAACTGCCCCCCTCTCTTCATGACATTTGTTAGGGCTTAGGGGGAACAGAATTGAGTCAGCCACCACCCCCCATGCCAGAACAGACAGGGCCCTATTGTCTCAGCCAAAATTCCTTCTTTCAAGGAAGAGGAGGCTCATTGTCCAGCCCTACACCCAGCTCTGGCCCACAAAGCTCAAAAGCGGCACAACGAATGCCCACCCTGACCCTCTGCCCCCTCGTCTAGCCTGGGGGTGGCAGGCGCATTCCACCCATGAGGCTGAGGCCCAAACCACTGGAGCCCTGAGCTTAACCCCCCAGTCTTGGGGACTGGGAGAGGAAGAGAATTGTCTTCAGCAGGAAAGAACCCGCAGAGAACCAGGAACCCACAAAGAATGGGCATTGAGAGAGAGCGGAAACACCAAGGGGGTCCCCACCCTAGACCAGGCATCTGGGCACCCAGGCCTCAGGCTCCGCCCCCACCCTCCTTGGGGAGCCAGGTCCCCTCCACCTGGAAATGAGCCAAGTCACACTGAGGAAATGGAACTTTATTTCCATAAATACAGGGATAACACCTATTCAAAGGTAGTTAAAAGAGGGCCTGGGGCCTCAAAGAAACTAGGCTCTCCCAGGGGGGTACTCCAACACTGATCATAGGGACTGGGGGATCCCCAAACCTGAGATGGGCCTCATAGGCCACAGATATTCCCCAACACTGACACTTCAAGAACGGAACTGTCCCCATAGGGGAGCCTCAGAACCCCACTCTCATGGGTAGTCCCTCTTAGGAGTTGGGAGGGCTGATGTCAGGGGACTTTAGAGAAAAAAGGGAACATGGGGAGGAGAGAAGCTAAAAATGTCCTGAGTGGCCTGGAAGGAGACCCCTGTGGTGGGCAGGGGGTGGGTTCTCCACCCATACAGCCAGATACGGAGGAGCAGCAGCAGCAAAAGCAGCCACAAGTTAAAAACATGGTTTCTCACTTCCCAACTTCGGCCTTGAGAGAAAGGGACAGCACGGAGCAATCCCCCAAATGAGAGGACATGAGGTAGGGGAGGCCTGGAATTGTCATTCATGGAGGAGCAGAGGAAGGGGGTTCTGGGAGGCCAAGTCTCTACTAAAACCCCGTCTCTACTAAAAATGGGGGATAATATGGGAGCAATGAGGTGGTCACAGGCACACCAAAGCCTGACATCTGCTTTCCAAGGCCACCACTTGGTCTCTGGACCGAGGAGTTCCTGGGGACCCCTGAATATATCCTCAGGAGAGCCAAGGTTCAATGCAGGTCTCATAAAGGGTACGGTTGGAGTGCCAGGCTGTGTGGGAGATACCGGCCATTGGACACCTCACTATGGCCCCCCGGGCCAATAGAGTCTTCAACCCAAAAGAATCCCGCAGATAAACCTTCAAGGTGGTCGAAGGGGCGTGGAAGCATGGAAGAGAGACACAAGGAGAGACAAAGTGAGTTACTGCTGGGATCCTGGACCTCCTCCCCACAGGGTGAACCCTTCAGCTCAGGAGTCACAGAGAGGGCTCTGGAATAAGGTGGGACAGCGGCTAGAAGGGGAAGTAATCCCAGGGGGCTCACCAGTTGCTCCTCCATCTCCAGGACGGTCTCATTTGCATCATAGAAACCAAAGAAGCTACAAAGAGATTTGGGGGGAGGTTATCAGAAGAGCTGGAGAAAATCTGGCCGGGCGCAGTGGCACACGCCTGTAATTGCAGCACTTTGGGAGGCCAAGGAGGGCAAATCACCTGAGGCCAGGAGTTCAAGACCAGCCTGACCAAAATGGTGAAACCCCATCTCTACTAAAAATACAAAAATTAGCTGGGCATGGTGGCAGATGCCTGCAAGCCCAGCTACCCAAGAGGCTGAGGCAGGATAATTACTTGAACCCGGGAGGTGGAGGTTGCATTGAGTCGAGATCGCACCACTGCACTTCAGCCTGGGTGACAGAGCGGGACCCCATCTCAAAAAGGAAAGGAAAGGAAAAAGGAAAGAAAAAAGAAAAGGAAAAAAGAAAGGAAGAAATCAAGGTGGGCTAAGGTCCCAAAGGAACCCAAGGCCTACTGGGGAGACAGGTAGCAGGGAGGACACTCAAAACTACCTTACTGGATATAATGTACTTCATGAGGTGATACACTGAAGATACGACCTCACTTCTGTAGAAACCCCATCAAAAATGCATTACTGGCCGGGCGAGGTGGCTCACACCTGTAATCCCAGCACTTTGGGAGGCCAAGGCCGGCGGATCACCTGAGGTCGGGAGTTCAAGACCAGCCTGGCCAACGTGGTGAAACCCCATCTCTACTAAAAATACAAAATTAGCTGGGCGTGGTGGCTCAAGCCTGTAATCCCAGCACTTTGGGAGGCCGAGGAGGGTGGATCATCTGAGGTCAGGAATTCGAGACCAGCCTGGCCAACACGGAGAAACCCTGTCTCTACTAAAAATACAAAATTAGCTGGGCGTGGTGGGCGCCTGTAATCCCAGCTACTCAGGAGGCAGAGGCAGGAGAATTGCTTGATTCTGGGACGCAAAGGTTGCAGTGAGCCGGGATGGCGCCACTGCACTCCAGCCTGGCGACAGAGTGAGACTTTGTCTCAAAAAAAAAAAAAAAAGAGGCCAGGTGTGGTGGCTCATGCCTGTAATCCCAGCACTTTGGGAGACCAAGGAGGGTGGATCACCTGAGGTCAGGAGTTCAAGACCAGCCTGGCCAACATGGAGAAACCCCGTCTCTACTAAAAATACAAAATTAGTTGGGCATGGTGGTGGGCGCCTATAATCCCAGCTACTCAGGAGGCTAAGACAGGAGAATCACTTGAACCTGGCAGGCGGAGGTTGCAGTGGGCCGAGATTTGCCATTGCACTCCAGCCTGGGCAACAAGAGTGAAACTCCAACTCAAACAAACAAACAAACAAAAAGATACTAAAGAGACGTAACAAGATCATGCAACTCAAGATCCTGATTTGGATCTTCCACTGTATATTTTTTTCTGTAAGGACAGTTGGAAAAATTTGAATAATCTGTGAGCGCATATTCAGGAAAATTTGAATCTATGTTTATATTTAAATATAACATTAACGTATATAAATAAATGTATATATATTTAGAGAAAAAAGATATTAATGTAAACATGACAAAATGTTAACATTTGCGAAATCTAGGTGAGGAGTATAAATGACTGCTTTTTGCTATTTTGGTAACTTTTTTTTTTTTTTTTGAGACAGGGTCTTACTCTGTCACCCAGGCAGGAGTGCAATGGTGAGATCTCGGCTCACTGCAGCCTTGGCCTCCTAGGCTCAAGCAATTCTCGTACCTCAGCCTCCCAAGTAGCTGGGACTACAAGGGCACACCACCACGCCCAGCTAATTTTTGTATTTTAGGTAAAGACAGGGTTTTGCCATGTTGCCCAGGCTGGTCTCAAACCCCTGGGCTCATGCCTCGGCCTCCCAAAGTGCTAGGATTACAGGCGCAAACTTTTCTTAAGTATGAAATTATTTCAAAATAGAAAGGTCTTAAAATCCTTTTTTTCTTTTTTTTTTGAGACAGAGCCTTGCTCTGTCACCCAGGCTGGAGTGCAGTGGCACCCTATCGGCTCATTGCAACCTCCGCCTCCTGGTTTCAAGTTCTCCTGCCTCAGCCTCCTGAGTAGCTGGAACTACAGGCGTGCGCCACCAGGCCCACTAATTTTTGTATTTTTAGTAGAGATGGGGTTTCTCAATGTTAGCCAGCTGTTCTCGAACTCCTGACCTCAGGTGATCCACCCGCCTCGGCTTCCCAAAGTGCTGGGATTATAGGCGTGAGCCACCGCACCCAGCCAGATGGAGTTAAAATCTTTTAATTAAAAAATATTGGCCAGGCAAGGCCGGGTGCGTGGGCTCACGCCTATAATCCTAGCACTTTGGGAGGCCGAGGCGGGTGGATCACGAGGTCAGGAGATCGAAACCATCCTGGCTAACACAGTGAAACCCCGTCTCTACTAAAAATACAAAAAAATTAGCCGGGCGTGGTGGCGGGTGCCTGTAGTCCCAGCGACTCAGGAGGCTGAGGCAGGAGAATGGCGTGAACCTGGGAGGCAGAGCTTGCAGTGAGCCGAGATCACGCCACTGCACTCCAGCCTGGGCGACCGAGCGAAGACTCCAACTCAAAAAATATATATCTATCTATATATAGAGAGAGATATATATTGGCCAGGCGCAGTGGCTCACGCCTGTAATCCCAACACTTTGGGAGGCCGAAGCAGGCGGATCACAAGGTCAGGAGATCGAGACCATCCTGGCTAACACAGTGAAACCCCGTCTCTACCAGAAATACTAAAAATTAGCCAGGCATGGTGGTGGGCACCTGTAGTCCCAGCCACTTGGGAGGTGAGGCAGGAGAATGGCTTGAACCCAGGAGGCGGAGGTTGCAGTGAGCCGAGATTGTGCTATTACACTCTAGCCTGGGCGACAAGAACAAAACTCTGTCTCAAAAAAAAAAAAAAGGAAGAAACAGTGACTTGGAACATTAAAAATGTTATATAACCATGAGCTATCACTGTCATTCATAGGGTTGTGGTAGATGTGAAATGACATGATGTACATAAAACTCATCACTTACTATTATATTATTACAATATTTTAAGAGATGTCCTGCCTTCACTGAAAACTGTCCAGTGCCTTCCCATCTCACTCAGAATTTAAAAAAAAAAATCAAAAGCCTGGTTACCGGGACTGTCGGGAAATAGGGATGAGGATATATATATATATTTTTTTTTTTTTTTTTTTTTTTTTTTTTGAGATGGAGTTTCGCTCTTGTTGCCCAGGCTGGAGTGCAATGGCGCAATCTCAGCTCACTGCAACCTCTGCCTCCCAGGTTCAAGCGATTCTCCTGCCTCAGCCTCCCAAGTAGCTGGGATTACATGCATGCATCACCACACCCAGCTAGTTTTGTATTTTTAGTACAGACAGGGTTTCTCCATGTTGGTCGGGCTAGTCTCGAACTCCCGACCTCAGGTGATCCACTGCCTCGGCCTCCCAAAGTGCTGGGATTACAGGCGTGAGCCACCACACCCAGTCTATTTTTTAATGGGTATACGGTTTCAGTTTGGGGAAAAAGAAGTTCTGGAGATGGATGGTGCTGATGGGTGATGGTTTTACAATGATGTGAGTATACTTAATGCCACAAAACTGTACATTTTTAAATGGTTAAAATGGCAATTTTATGTTATGTATATTTTATCACAAAAAAAAGAAAAAAAAATATCAAGGGCCTTACCTTGACCTGCTAAGGTTTGACATGCCTGGTCCCCTGCTACCACTTTTAGCTCCTCTCCTGTCCTCTCCCCAGCTCCTTGTGCACTAGCCATGCTGGCCTCCTTATTGCTCACACGTGCTTCAGGGCCTCTGCAGGTGCCAGACCTTCTCCCTGGGGGGTTCTTCCACCCAGAGCACAACTCCCTCCTTCACTTCCTTCAGTCTCTAATTGAATGGTGACTTTTCCAGGAGGACTTCTTCGGCCACTATTGAAACTAGGCCCCGGACATCCTCTAATCCTTTCCCCTGCCTTATTACCTGACATATATATTTGTATGTATGTATCAGCTATCTTACAAACTAGAATATAAGCTACATAACATTAGGGACTTCTCTTTTATTTACCACTGCATCCCTAGGGCCCAGAACAAGCCTGCGCCCATAATGTTGAATAAATATTTGTTGAGCAATTCAAGTAGCTCAGGTGACATTACAGATCACACATGGTGACCTATAACACAGGCAAGCACATAGTACCATGGAGCCATGGATTTTTTTCTAAGGAATAGGATGGAGGGGACAAAGCTGGAGGCTGTTATAATAGTCCAGGTAAGTAAAGAGGTGGTAGGAAATGTGATAAAATGGTATAAAACTACACACACACATTGAACCAATGTGAATTTCCTGGTTTTGATACTGTGCTATAATTACATAGGATGCAACCACTGGGGGAAGCTGGGTGAAGGGCCTCGCTATACTATCTTTGCAATTTCCTATGAATCTATAAGAATTTCAAAATTAAAAGTTTTTATAAAGTGGGGGAGGGGGTGATAGGGATGGAGAGGAGAAGAGTCAGCAGGACTTAGTGACTGGCTTGATACAAGGGGTTGGGATATGACTCCCAGGTTTTGGTCTTGGGTGACATGATGAATGGGGGGAGGAGCACTAACTGAACAGTGGAAGGAGCAGGCCAGTTTAGGCATGAGATAAAGACCAACTGGGGTTGGGGGATGTCTTTAGCCAATCTTCAGGCCACAAAATCCCTTATTACCTGGACTGCCAGGGAGTAATAACACCATCATCAGGGCCCCCAATCAGCACCAGGTGGCCCACACGCAGAAAGTTCTTCCGCCATACTGTAGGATGGGAAGAAGAGAGGCTGAGTCAGCCACAGGGGTCAGGCCAGGTTGGAGAGGGAGACATAGGGAGTCAAAGAAGCAGAAAAAGCAACACAGGTAGGAGCCTGAATTCTCACCTGTGGCATTGGGATGGTCTCTTTCCCCATTGATCAGGGCCAGGAAGCTGCTGGCATTGAGGTACAAGTCATCGTGGTGGGGATCTGGGTACAAACAGCAGTTAGAAAAAGAAGCAGAAAAGGGAGGCAAGACTGGTGGTGAAAAGCCCAATAAGGAAGCTGCAGCAATAGTCAAGGTGGATAGTAATAAAATAGTAGTGATAATGTAGGCCAGGTGCGGTGGCTCACACCTGTAATCCCAGCACTTTGGGAGGTAGAGGCAGGTGGATCACTTGAAGTCGGGAGTTTGAGACCAGCCTGGCTAACATGGCGAAACCCTGTCTCTACTAAAAATACAAAAGTTAGCCAGGCGTGGTGGTGCATGCCTGTAATCCCAGTTACTCGGGGCGCTGGAATCACTTGAACCCAGGAGGTGGAGGTTACAGTGAGCCGAGACTGCACCACTGCACTCCATCCTGGGAGACACAGTGAGACTCCATCTCAAAATAATAATAGTAGTGATAACAACCGTAAACATAGTAACAAGTACTTTTTTTTTTTTAGATGAAATCTCACTCCGTCACCCAGGCTGAAGTGCAGTGGCAGGATCTCCGCTCACTGCAACATCTGCCTCCCGGGTTCAAGCAATTCTCCTGACTCAGCATCCTGAGTAGCTGGGATTACAAGCGTGTGCCCACATTCAGCTAAATTTTTTTTGTATTTTTAGTAGAGATGGGGTTTCACCATGTTGGCCAGGCTGGTCTCGAACCCGACCTCAGGTGATGCGCCCACCTCCCCCTGCCAAGATATTGGGATTACAGGTGTGAGCCACCACACCTGGCAATAGCAAGTACTTCTATCTAGTATCTACTATATGAGCCAGGTACTATTCAAAGTACATTGCATTCATTTATTTATTTAATCCTTACAACCACCTGGTGAAGTACATGCTATAATATTTTACAGATAAGGAAAACTGAGTAACAGAATGGTTAAGTAACTTGCCCAAAGGCACCCAATAGGGTCAAGATTCAAACCCAAGTATTCTGGCCCCATGGTCTGGTCTAGAGGTTGGCAAACTGTGACCAAAGGACAAAATCCAGCCTGCTACTTGTTTTTGTAAATGAAGTTTTACTGGAACACAGGCACATTCATTCACATATGGTACATGGCTGCTTTCACACTACAACAGCAGAATTGAGGAGTTGTGAAACAGACTATATGTCCTACAAAGTCAAAAATATTTACTCTCTGGCCCTTTATAGACAAGGTTTGCTGACTCCCACATCAGACTAAACCTTCTAAGGCAATAAGGTGACACACTTAAAACATTCTGGGCCAGGTGCAATGGTTCACACCTGTAATCCCAGCACTTTGGGAGGCCGAGGCGAGTGGATCACCTGAGGTCAGGAGTTCGAGACCAGCCTGGCCAACATGGCGAAACTCCATCTCTACTTAAAATACAAAACTTAGCCGGGCATGATGGCGCCTGCCTGTAATCCCAGCTACTAGGGGGACTGAGGCAGGAGGATCACTTGAACCTGGGAGGCGGAGGTTGCAGTGAGCCGAGATGGTGCACTGCACTCCAGCCTGGGCAACAGAACAAGACTCCGTCTCAAAAAAAAAAAAAATTCTGAACAGAGCCTGTTCAAATAACTCAATAAATGTAAGTTATCTTTATTGTCATCACTGCTATTGGTTGTAGCAGAGGTGGAAGCAACTGACCTGATCCATGGAAGCCCCAGTTCAGCATCCCCACTCACCATGCCAGTAGTTGCAGATGGAGAATTCCTGGCCCCAGGGGCTATAGCAGATCCGATAGAGGTTAGACCGCATGGAGGTGGGGAACAGCCACTTCAAGTAGTCCGTGTCTGGCAAGCGAATGGCAATGCTAAGTGACCATAAACCTCTGTTCCCCCAAAACTCAGGGCATTCTATGGAGTCTAGTGCCCACTCACCTCCATACTGTCCCATCTGTGGAGAGGAGAGGGAGATGAAAGAATCCACGTTGTGATCATCCATGACAGAAAGCAGAGCCCGGCACACAAGGCCCCCTGTAAGCAGAACACCACATTGGGCAGGCACTTAAGGACAGCAAAGCCAGCAGCACCCCCCACCCCCACCACACACACACACACACACACACACACACACACACACAGAGACACACACAGACACACACTGTACACAAAGGAGACTGAGGCTTACAGAAGGCAGGCACACCCTGTGCCAAAAGGTCACACATCATATAAGTGACTGAGCCCGAATTAGATGCTGGGCCTCCTGCCTCTAGTTCTAGGATGTTTTTACCTGCCCCATTAGCCCTTATGTCCAAGAACCATGGGTAACAGGAAGCAAAAGGGCAGCAGTGTAGGGAGCCTCCCTCCCATTCAAGACAGAGATGAGACCCAGGTGCTGAGGGAAGTCAGAAAGGAAGGGCTCAGGTACCAGGGTTGTGCCTGGAGCAATGTGGTTCAGAAAAAGGGACGCTAGGAAGTGTCCCTCAGATAAGGATCAAGCCTCAGATAGGGCTTAGGAGTTAGGGGCAGGGGAGTCGCCTACCCTGCGAGTAGCAGATGAGATGCACCCCTTGAGGGGCCTTTGCCATGATGGGGACCACAGCCTCTCGGAACCCTTGCACCTGTTCCCACAGGGGTCGCAAGCTCTCTCTCCCATCGAAGAGATCGAGCACTGTCACCACAGTCCCGGGGTGTGTCTGTGGGAAGGGGGCAATGCAGCCACCGGGGATAGGCTAAGAAGCTCCCACACGCCACCCCCTGGCCCGCGTCCACAGGTCTATTGTACCCTGCTAGAACCAGGGATCCCGTCCCCCAACTCTCCCCCACGCCAGCACCAGCTCCCTGAGGAACTGGGCAGGCCCAGAGGGGTGGCTTTCAGTTCCCCGCTCTCCCTCCCCTGCCACAGTAGACGCCTCTAACGCCCTGCACCCAGGTGTCCCCTGCCAGACCTCATTGATGTATTCCAGCAGGTGGCGGAAGCTGTACGAGCTGTCGAAGAGCCCATGCACCACGATGACCGGCTTGTAGGACGCGCGGTGGGGCGCGGGGGCTGCAAGCAGCAGCAGCGGCAGGAAAGGCAACAGAAGCAGGACCCACGCCGCGGGGAGCCGCTGCCCCCAGAGCCCCAGCATGCTCCCGCCTGAGAAAGGGGTGATAAGGGCATGTGAGGGAGATGGCAACACCCTCCTCCCTCGGAACAGACGCCCGGCAATCAAGCCACCTCCTCTCGCTCCCACACCAGGTCCGTGTCACAAAATAGCCTACTTTTAACTTACTCCAGCCCTCTCCCTACAAACACACCCCCCCACCACGTTGACGCACCAACGCGCACCCGAAGTCCCGCCTCCAACTCAGCGTTCGGGGGACTTGTTCTCTAGGTCCAGGATCTTCCTAATGCATCGCCTCAGCCATGAACAACGCGGAGTTCTTTAATACCCGTGAGCAGCAGCCCAGGCCCCTTGAAGAGTGCAGACTCCCACCTGGCCTGGGTCCGTAGGCCTCGCTCCACCCGCTGTTTACTTATCCCAAGTCTGGAACCCACGGTGGCGGGGGGAAGGGTGAGGAAAGAGAGCGCAGGGGAATGACGGATGGGAGGGGGAAGGGCGGGCTGCTTGGGGTCGCGCAAATCCGTCACGTCCGGGGCTTTCTCTGGCAACCGCGCGAGCGTTCCCCGCAACACAGACCCAGGACAGGAGGGGCAATGGAATATTCCATTGCGCCCTAGGTGCTGGGGAGGAAACAGGCGGAGCGATCCATTTAGGCCAGTGGGGAGAGGAAAAAGCAGCAAACATATTCTGGGAATGGAAAGAAGGCCTCTCCAGGCTTCGTTGCCCCCAGCGACCCAAAAGTCCGATTTCCCCGCCTTGATTCTCCCCACTTCCCAATACAGGCGTCTGGCTCCGCAGCAGAACACGAAGTTTGCATTCCCCAAGGGGCGGCCAGGGGGCGGACCAGGGAAAGGTAGTCCTCTGCATTTTGCCGTGTGCTGGGTGAGTGGCAGGGTGGCCTGGAGGGCTGATGCCAGCCCGGGCGTGCCCCTCAACACCCACCCCACCCCACCCTCCAGTCCGCCCCAGGTCAGCGACTTACAACTCTTCATTCTGAAGTGCGTGTAGTGCCCTTGTCTCCAGAGACGCAGAGAGTCCTCGAGGCCCCTTGAGCTAAGTGCAGCCTGGCCCAGTTTCTCCTGCCCTACTCTACTCCCCTCCCTATAAGCGACCCACCCTCAAGGGGCGGAGGGCGCGTAGGGATGCGCTGACTCATGCCCGCGTAATTTCGACCAGTCTTTCAACCTGAACGACCCCCAGAATCTGGCTGTCTGAGTTATCTGTGGGTGGCTCCCTACCGAAACCCCCAGGCGCCCCACCTCTCCGCCTGTGACCCCTAACCGACACCCTAGTGCCTCAGGGCTTTTACTTGCTAGGGCTTTTACTTAGCATTTAAAGACGTTTCTCTAGAGATAAGGATTTCTCAGCATGTCTGAGCCCCTCTCTCTGTTTACAAGGTCATTGCTTGGTCTAAATTTGTCTCAATCAAAACATTTTTGCGCTCAGAATGGTGTAGAGTGACGATGAGGTGGCGGTAAGGGGTTGAGCGCTCACGCGAACGCCTAAGTGACCAGAACGACTGGTGTGAAGCCGTGATCTGACTCTGTGGAGCCTGGGACTGGTTTCAGCGAGAGCCTCTGTACTGCTCTGTAGTCTCTGCTAGGACATGGACGAAAAGGGACGCAGCCGGGAGAGCGACTGCCCCAGGTGGGGGCTGGGGGGACGTAAGGGAAGAATAATGATTATCTGGCTGTGTTTTTGTTTAAAAAAAAAAAAAAACTGGTGTAAATCTCCATAGACTTCCTATCCTCGCTCCCTTCACCCACCCACGCGCTCCCAAGATGCAATAAGCAAATAAAAAGACTAATAACGCTGTACTGCAGGTCGACTCAGGAGCTGGAGATGCGTCTTGGTGGGAGGTGGTGGGTGGGAGTAGGGGGGTTTAGGGAATGGATCTGAACATTGACCAGCCCAGAGACTCTAAGCAGCCTCAAAAGCAAAGGGAAAGTGGGGGAACAAGCACACATTACCAACAGAGCTGCCAGAAATGAGCAGTTAAGTCATACCCCCTACCCCCTCCAAAAGAGCTTCAGCTCCTTAGTCCTGGACGAAGAAGGTATGTATGCACACCGCCCAAACTCTCTCTCCCTTTTCCCTCCAAGGCCCAGCTCCCCCTGATTTACAGACCTGGGCCTCCCTCTTTACTGCTAGGTTGGTAGGTTCACCAAACCCTGGGAACTTTTCAGACCATCGCAGTTCTGAACTCTGCACAATTCTCTCTCACACACAAGTATTTATCTCTTCTAAAGAGGAGGAAACTGGGGCCAAGGATTTGGGAGAAGACCCTGGCACCTTGCAGGGAGCTAAGAGGGGGAGACGACCTGCCTCTGGAGGCACCTGGGTTATTAACTCCACTGAGAACCTGTTCACTTCCTCCCACAATACAATCACTGAGTCTTGGTGGGGGAGACTCCAGAGAGTTCTCCTTCCTTCCTTTCCTTAGTCCCACCCGCCTCGCCTGGTCTAGCCTCCGTGTTTCCATGACAACTCCAAAGGAGCCCAAACTGGGGGCTTGAATGCCGGGGTAAGAGGAGGAGAGAGGTGGTCCGAGAGCAGAGAGAGACCGAGTGGGAAACATCTGAAGCGCTCCCCCTCCCTCGCCTCGGTCCCTTTAAGCTCCCCCCCTCCCCGCTCTCCCTCCGCCCGCCCCCCCCGCCCCCCCCCCCCGCCGCTGCCTTCATCTCTCCATCTCTGCGCTGCTGCCGGCTGCGCCATCCAGCACCCAGACTCCAGCACCGGCCGAGGACCCCCACTCCGGCTGCAGGGACCCTGTCCCAGCGAGACCGCAGGCATGTCATCCGAAAAGTCAGGTAAAAACAATAACAAAACCTCCCACCCCCTCCACTGTCTCCAGACTCTCCGTCCCCCTTGCCCCAACCCCCTCCCTTACCCCTCCTCAGCTGTGGTTCTATTTCATTCCCCTTCTCTCCAGCTCTCAACACTCCCCCAGTCCCCCTCCTCTTTCTGTCTCCCCCTTTCTCTTCCTTTCCTCTTTCCAGTGGCAGCCTCTGCCCCTTGCCAACAACATGGTCAGGGGGGTAGGTTGAGAGGGTGAAGGAGGTACAGCCAGGTTTTGCAGGGATGGCATCATTGGGAGTGACAGATGGACAATCACTGGCTGGCATGGAGACATCCTGTGAGGAAATATGGAGACATGACCAGATGGGGGTTGTCAAGGGAGCAAAATCCAGAGGGCTCTTCTTAATCTGCCCTAAAAGAGGTCCCGAGATTCTCACAGAGGCTGGGGCACTCCTCCCCCCACTGAAGGAACAGCAGAGTGGAACACATGTCATCCCACATGTGTTTATACAACTGTTGAATTGAGCACATATTAACACAGGGTTGCATGTCTACGCATACGCACACACAGGACTAGCTCGGATAGGCCAGCCCAAAGGCAGCTATAGCAAAGGAGAGGGGATTAGGTCTGCAGGTGAGAGCTGGGTGCATGGTGATGAAAAAGACAGAAAAGAAGCAGACCAGAGTTGTGACCTCAAAACTAGATTGGAAGGAAGAAGGAGGGGGGCAGATGGCCTAGATACAGCCCCTCTCTTGCCCCTCAAATTAGAGATGGTTTCTCACCCGTCTCTCTCTATGTGTCTCTCCCATTATCTTTCTCCATCCCTGACCGGCTGTGTTTCCCCTTACCCCCTCCTCAACTCATCACTGTGTCATCTTTCCTCTTATACTCTCCTCCACTCACCTCCCCCAGGACTCCCAGACTCAGTCCCTCACACTTCTCCGCCGCCCTACAATGCCCCTCAGCCTCCAGCCGAACCCCCAGCCCCACCGCCACAGGCAGCCCCTTCCTCACACCATCACCACCACCACCACTACCATCAGTCTGGCACCGCCACCCTCCCGCGCTTAGGGGCAGGGGGCCTGGCCTCTTCCGCGGCCACCGCTCAGCGCGGTCCCTCCTCCTCTGCCACGCTGCCGAGGCCCCCCCACCACGCCCCTCCCGGCCCTGCTGCCGGGGCACCCCCACCCGGCTGCGCTACCTTGCCCCGCATGCCACCCGACCCTTACCTGCAGGAGACTCGCTTCGAGGGCCCACTTCCCCCGCCGCCGCCCGCTGCCGCCGCCCCGCCCCCGCCGGCGCCAGCCCAGACTGCCCAGGCCCCTGGCTTCGTGGTGCCCACGCACGCGGGGACTGTGGGCACGCTGCCGCTGGGGGGCTACGTAGCGCCCGGATACCCCCTGCAGCTGCAGCCTTGCACTGCTTACGTGCCGGTCTACCCGGTGGGCACGGTGAGTGCCGGGCAGACAGGGACATGGGAAAGAGGGGGACGCGATACAGGACTTGAAATTGGGGATACGCTGGGGGCTGGTAGGATAGAGGAACAAGGGCAGGGAACAGGTAGTGTTCCCGGGACAAGCCCTAGAAAGAAGGGAGCCTGAGACAGGAAGGACTAGGGAGAGACACGGGAGTAGGAGTCTACTGGTGCCCAGAGTCAGGGCCTGGGAGGGGGATCGGAGCCTAGAGGTTCAGAGGAGGTCTGAAAGTAGGAAACCGCCTGGCGGGGGACGGGGGGAATGGAAGCTGGGAACCAAGAGGGATGTGGGAGAAGCCTGGGACTAAGGGGGTAGGGGAGGCCTGGTAGGTGTCTGGAGGGAAGAAAGAAGGTCTGACCTGAGGCCAGGACAGCCCCAGTGGGACCATACCTTGCGGGAGAGAATGTAGAAAGCCCAAGAATATGGTGGTTAATGAAGCAAGGAAGGGAGGAGAGGGGCTTAGGTGGAATTTATGGGTGTCCTGGAAGGGTAATGGGTGCTTTATTTTGAGAAGCCATAGGTAAAAATTGTGCTTTTAAAGCCACTCTGCCAGCCGCCCAACGCTGGTAGGCTGGGAGAGGGTCAGAGTGATGCCCCTGCCCCCCAAATTTCCTTCCACAGCCATATGCAGGCGGGACCCCGGGGGGAACAGGAGTGACCTCCACTCTCCCCCCGCCGCCCCAGGGCCCAGGGCTGGCCCTACTGGAGCCGAGGCGCCCGCCACACGACTACATGCCCATCGCGGTGCTGACCACCATCTGTTGCTTCTGGCCTACTGGCATCATTGCCATCTTCAAGGCCGTGCAGGTAGGGGGCAGGGGCATACTCGGTTTGGGGGCGGGGACAGGGAGTTCTGGGCGTTCTGGGGACCATCTTAGAGAAAGGCTGAGGCGTTCGAACGAGGCCGCAGCTCTTTGACCTCCTTCCCCCACCCCTCCTCCGTAGGTGCGCACGGCCTTGGCCCGCGGAGACATGGTGTCGGCCGAGATCGCTTCACGCGAGGCCCGGAACTTCTCCTTCATCTCCCTGGCCGTGGGCATCGCGGCCATGGTGCTCTGTACCATCCTCACCGTAGTCATCATCATCGCCGCGCAGCACCACGAGAACTACTGGGATCCCTAAAAACGCCCCTGGTCCGGCCCCACTCTGCGCCCCTCGATCTCCCAGGCTCTTTCTGCAGTCATACCGCGGACCCAATGGGCGCCCTGCACACCCGTTTCTGGGGCCGTCAGACTTGGATACATCGTAAACTCCGCCTCCACGGAACGTCTCGCCTTGCGAGCAAGCTCGGAATCCAGTTCCTCAGGAACCCCTCCAAAACCCACACCCCCAGGGACGCCGCTTTCCGGGATCCCGGCCAAACGCCGGACCCTCAGTCGCTCCAGGCCCCCTCACCCTCAAAGTGTAGCGCCCCCAACCGAGCAACCTCGGTTTGGTCCCTAAAACCCCGCCTCCTCTATAAGCACCGCCCCAGCTCTGACAAAACCCCGCCTCCAGGTCGGCAGGCTCCGCCTTCTTTTCTTCTCCGCGGGGTGATTCAGTCCAGTGATTGGGTTTGTGGCTCCAGGCCTCGCCCACAGACGGACAGACCCCTCCCTTTCTTCCGGCAAAAGGACCGAGCCCTGGGGTAGTAAGGCCCCCACACTCCTGTTTTTTGCAAGTACATTTTTGTCCCTCCTCCACCCAGGTATCTGCCTATTTTCTTGCTAATCCCAGAACCTTTCCTTTTGCTTTTTTTAAGGACATTTGGGAAGTTCCTGGTGTAGGACCCTTCTCCCTGGGATAAGAAACCTGCCTGTAAACGCTCTGTAAATACTCCCTTCCACCCATCCCAGCCCCTGGGCAGCCGGGCAGAAGGGAATCCAGGCTATGGACCTCCCAAGTCCCCGCTCCCCGCTCCCCTCGGCGGCCCCGCCTTGTTCTGATCTGTGTGTGAGTGTGTGTGAACTTCTGAAAGACAATATTAAAGAGACTTAGTTGATTTATCGCCCGCAATTCCAAAGACTGCGGCCCCGCAAAGACCCTCCCCACTTTTGATTCCGCCTTTCACTTCCCTTCATCTCCTCTTCCAAGGAAAAAAAAAGAAAACCCGACAGAGACTAACGTGAGGGACACAGATTCCCAGATCGCCAGAGAGACACGTGAATATGGGGGACGGAGGGGAGCTCCCTGGGAATCCACCAAGGAAGACCTTGGGGTCCATTCTCAGTGAGGCTTTATTTTCTTAGTGAGGCTTTATTTCCCCAGTACCCCTTTTCCATTCCCTACTATCCCCAGAACTCCAGGAAGACAAGAGAACAGAGAGGGCAGACCATGGTGAAGAAGCTGGTCAAGGATAGAGTGATGGGGGCCAAGAAGAGATGCCAGCTGCCCATAGCTGTTCCTGACTGTGGGCTGGAGGGTGGCAGATAACTTGGATTAGAGCCCCACATGCTGGACTGTAGGGGGTATAGGAAAGGCAAAGAGAGCAGATTGCTGTGGGAGCCCAGGGAGGAGGTCAATGGCCTCTCAAGTCTCCCTGGGACTAGTTGCCCTCTCCTATCCTGAGGTCAACCAATAGGCCTCTTTTCTGAGGGGAGTGGTGATTAGGGGATGCTGCCAGCAGTGGGCTTGGGTCTTTGGTTGTACACCCACAGGACAGGGTCCTAACCTAATTTATGCATTTATGCAACATGCAGACTCCATGCTGGATGCTGGTGAGACATCCACCCAGACAGCAGGTGTGACCCCTGACCTCATGGAGCTTACAATCTAGAAGGGAAGCCATGCACTGAGATAGGAAATGTGATAGGAGATGTGGGAGGAGGGTGGGGTGAGGTGTGAATATCATGGGTTCGCCCTTGGATGTTTCGCATTTAATGTGCCTACCTTACCAAACTTCTTGAAAAACAGAATTCACGGCTGGGCACGGTGGCTAACACCTGTAATTCCAGCACTTTGGGAGGCCAAGGCAGGCGGATCACTTGAGGTCAGGAGTTCGGGACCAGCCTGGCCAACATGGTGAAACCCCATCTGTACTAAAAATAATAAATTAGCCGGGCATGGTGACGGGCACCTGCAGTCCCAGCTACTTGGAAGGCTGAGGCAGGAGAATCGCTTGAACTTGGGAGGCGGAGGTTGCAGTGAGCCAAGATCAAGTCATTGCACTCCAGCCTGGGCAACAAGAGCGAAACTCCATCTCAAAAAAAAAGGGGCAGGGGGGTGCGGAATATTGCTATCAGAGATATGTCTGTATCTGTCTTTTTTTCATACCCACTATTTCTTGACTTATTGGAATATGCATCCACACCCTATTCTCCTGAAACCTCCCTCTCAAATGGCAACCAATTACCCAGATCCCAAATCAATGGCATTTTCACAGTATTCTGCCTCTCTAAGCCCTCCCATGTTTGTCCCTTGACCCTGAATTCCCCACATACCCAGGTTCAAGAACGTATTACCTCCCTTCCCCCGACACACACACAGACCTCTAACCATTCCGCCTCTGCCTTCCCTCCTTGCTTTTTCTCCTCCCTTCCCCTAAGTGTCCATCTCTGATTTTTTTTCCTTCTCTGAGACTTTCCTTTGAAAAGCTCATTCACTCAACTCAGCTAATCAAATGCTTTACCAACCTGTATTTTACATGCAGACGTTTTTTCCAGTGCCTGAAGATCATAGCCACATGGAAGATGCTTGCTGGTCCTCTAAAATCAACACATTCCAAAACAAACTGATGAAATGCCACAGAAAACCTGCTTCCCTGTCTCTGTTAATAGACCATTTTCCCAATCACTCTTCCTTATCTAGAAATTTGCCGCCTCCTCCCTCTCCCTCCTGCCTTATTTTTGGTGTGCTCTCAAGCCTAGTCAGTTCTGCCACCACAATGTCTTTTGAATCTGTAATTTTTCCCCAGCCCTTGCTGGAAAAATTACCTCATTAGGATTATTGCATCAGCTTTCCCAACAGGTCTCCCTACTTCCTACTTCTCCCTACCTCAAGTCTCCCTCCACACTATTGTCAGATCAGCCTCCCTAAACACACTTTCATAACTCCACTGCTCAAAAGCCCTTCAAGGTTCCCTATTGCCTACTCAATTATTTACAAAATTTTAATCTGGCCTTTAACACCTTCCATAATTTAAAATCATCCAGCTTCTCTGTTTATTCTAATTTCTAACCATACTGAATTACTCATCATTCCCACCTCCAGGTATTTGCCCAGCTGTTCCCAAATCTTAGACCTCCTTCCCAAATCTCTGCCTATTATAAACCAAATTGTTTGCAGCTTGTCACAAATTTCAGAGGCTTTAGACCACATCTAGGCTCTTGCTCATGATGTTCTCCCCCTCTTGACATCTGCCTCTCTACTTGGTCAAATTTTATTTACAATATCTTTCAAAGTCCGGATCAATTCATCCCTCACTGTAGCAAAAAGGTGTCTCTCTTTCCTCTGGGTTAGATTAAAGCAGTGGGTTTCCAAACAGAGCTTCAGGCATTCCTTGGAGCAACGGTTCTTACCCCAGGTTACACATTAGAATCCACTGGGGAGCACTGAAAAATCTGAAAGCCCATGTCGCATCCTAAAACAATTAAATCAGAATCTCTGGGCTCAGTGCCAGTGGCTCACACCTGTAATCTCAGCACTCTGGGAAGTCGAGGCAGGAGGATCGTTTAAGCCCAGGAGTTCGAGACTAGCCTGGGCAATATGGTGAGACCCCATCTCTACAAGAAAGTTTAAAAACTAGCCTAGGCCAGATCGAGACCATCCTGGCTAACATGGTGAAACCGCGTCTCTACTAAAAATACAAAAAAATTAGCTGGGTGTGGTGGTAGGTGCCTGTAGTCCCAGCTACTCAGGAGGCTGAGGCAGGAGAACGGCATGAACCCGGGAGGTGGAGCTTGCAGTGAGCCGAGATCGTGCCATGCACTCCAGCCTGGGCAACAGAGCGAGACTCCGTCTCAAAAAAAAAAAAAAAAAAAAATTAGCCTAGGCCGAGCGCGGTGGCTCACACATATAATCTCAGCACTTTGGGAGGCCGAGGTGGGTGGATCACCTGAGGTCAGGCGTTCAAGACCAGCCTGGCCAACGTGGTGAAACCCCGTCTCCACTAAAACTGCAAAAATCAGCCGGGTATGGTGGCACATGCCTGTAATCCCAGCTACTCAGGAGGCTGAGGCAGAAGAATCGCTTGAACCTAGGAGGCGGAGGTTGCAGTGAGCCCAGATTGCACCACTGCACTCCAGCCTGGGTGGCAGAGAGGCACTCAGTCTCAAAAAGAAAAAGAAAAAAAAAATTTAGCCGAGCCCCATGGCTCACCTGTAGTCTTAGCTACTTGGGAGGGTGAGACGGGAGGATTGCTTGGGCCTGAGGGGCAGAGGCTTCAGTGATCAGAACACGGTGCTCCAGCCTGGGCAACAGAGTGAGACCCTATCTCAAAACAAACAAAAAAGAATCTCTGGGGGTGGAACTCTGGCATCAGTATTTAAGACATAACCAGGTGATTCCAAAGGGCAGCCAAGGTTGGGAATCACAGGTTTACAGACACTTTAAGGACCACCCAGGGAGAATGGAAAGGCCAAAAAATGACTTCAACCCGGGCAATTTTCTTTAGGAGAAAAGTATCTAGATCTAAGATTCATGTTATCTGCATATTTTCTCATCTCTTCCCACCTGATATCTTGACATACACAGTTTACCTTGTGAGCTACTTGAAGGCAAGAGTCAAATCTGGCTTATCTCTGTTTTTCAGATCCTCATCAGATAAAACCTCCTCTACCAATCTTTGAACTCAATTGAATTGAAAGGAATCAGGCAAAGGGAGAGATGAATAAAAAATGACTTAGCTTTCTTTTGCTTTTCCTTAGGAATGTTTGTTTCTTAATCTCAGATCTCTTAACCTCACCCAGACTCCTCCCTCATGAGGAAATAAAATGTTACAATGTGTGGCCGGGCGCGGTGGCTCACTCCTGTAATCCTAGCACTTTGGGAGGCCGAGATGGGCGGATCACGAGGTCAGGAGATCAGGACCATCCTGGCTAACACGGTGAAACCCCATTTCCACTAAAAATACAAAAAATTAGCTGGGTGTGGTGGCAGGCACCTGTAGTCCCAGCCACTTGGGAGGCTGAGGCAAGAGAATGGTGTGAATCCCGGAGGCAGAGCTTGCAGTGAGCCGAGATTGTGCCACTGCACTCCAGCCTGGGCAACAGGGCGAGACTCCGTCTCAAAAAAAAAAAAAAGTTACAATGTGATCCTCTTCCTATCTGACTCACCTCCCTCTGCAGGTGATACCCTTGGCTGTGGCACCTCTACTGACAGAGACTCCATCCTCTAGGAGAGGCTCTGCCCTCCCATAACATCTGTATGGGTGCTCTCATACAGATGGGGGAAAACCATGATTAGATTCTGGGTCATCATTCCCCCTCTACAATGGAAGATTCAGCACCTGATCACTCTACTTCCACCGCTCATTTCATTTTCTTCTTTTTATTATTTATTTATTTATTTTTGAGATGGAGTTTTGCTCTTCTCGCCCAGGCTGGAGTGCAGTGGCGCAATCTCGTCTCACTGCAACCTCCGCCTCCTGAGTTCAATAGATTCTCCTGCCTCAGCCTTAGTAGGTGTGATTACAGGCATCTGCCACCACGCCCAGCTAATTTTTGTATTTTTACTAGAGACAGGGTTTCACCATGTTGGCCAGGCTGGTCTTGAACTCCTGATCTTAGGTTATCTGCCTACCTCGGCCTCCCAAAGTGCTGGGATTACACACGTGAGCCACCGAGCCCAGCCTCTTTTTCTTTTTTCTTTTTTTTCTGAGGCAGGGTCTCGCTCTGTCACCCAGGCTGGAGTGCAGCAGCAGGATCATAGCTCACTGAGCTTCGATCTCCCGGTCTCAAGTGATCCTCCCAGCTAATTTTTTTTATTTTTATTTTATTTTTTTTTTTGAGATGGAGTCTGGCTCTGTCGCCCAGACTGGAGTGCAGTGGCACAATCTCAGCTCACTGCAACCTTGCCTCCTGGATTCAAGCAATTCTCTGCCTCAGCCTCTGAGTAGCTAGGATTACAGGCGCCTGCCACCACGCCCGGATAAATTTTGGGTTTTTTTTTTTTTTTTTTTTGAGACAGAGTCTCACCCTGTCGCCTAGCCTGGAGTGCAGTGGTGCGATCTCGGCTCACTGCAAGCTCTGCCTCCCGGGTTCATGCCATTCTCCCGCCTCCCACCTCAGCCTCCCAAGTAGCTGGGACTACAGGCACCTGCCACCATGCCCAGTTAATTTTGTTTTTGTATTTTTAGTAGAGACGGGGTTTCACCGTGTTAGCCAGGATGGTCTCAATCTCCTGACCTGGTGATCCGCCCTCCTCACCCTCCCAAAGTGCTAGGATTACAGGCTTGAGGCACCGCCCCTGGCCTGTTTTTTTGTTCGTTTGTTTTTGTTTTTTTTGGACGGAATTTTGCTCTTGTTGCCCAAGCTGGAGTGCAATGGTGCCATCTCAGCTCACTGCAACCTCTGCCTCCCAGGTTCAAGCGATTCTCCTGCCTCAGCCTCCTGAGTAGCTCGGATTACCGGCGTGTGCCACCATGCCCGGCTAATTTTTTGTATTTTTAGTAGAAATGGGGTTTCACCATATTGGTCAGGCTGGTCTCAAACTCTTGACCTCGTGATCCACCCGCCTCGGCCTTCCAAAGTGCTGGGATTACAGGCATAAACCACTGCGCCTGGCCTCTGGCCTTTGATATTTAATAGAGATGAGGTCACACTGTGTTGCCCAGGACAGTCTCGAACTCCTGAATTCACACAATCTGCCTGCCTCAGCCTCCCAAAGTGCCGGGATTATAGGCATGAGCTACAGTGCCTGGCCCCGTTTTATTATTTTTGTTTTCAATGTTCATGCAGATTCTCTAGCACCCTGCCCTTCTCTTGCAGTGATTTATTTCTCCCTGCTTCCCTCTCGCCCTATGTCATACCTTCAACTTGGTTGCCACCAATACCTACTGCCCTTCTAAAATCTCATCCTCAGTCTTTTCATGTTGCTCCCCAGTACCCCTATCCCAAAAATTCTTCAACCCCATCTGGGCCTCCCATCCACTAACTTACTTTTCATTGTTTGATCTCAATTCTTCACTTTCCTCATTACCCAGTTTAGATTCCAAGGTTCAACATGGTAATCGCCTCTCAGCCCTCACCCTGTACTCCTGGCCCCCCTTCCTCTGGCACATTTTATCCCTGGTCAAATCCCACTCTGCCTGCTCCACACCTGCATTCAACAGCTGGGGAGAAACACACAGTCATACTGACTGGTCTTGCTTCCTGCGGGCCCTCAGTGTGGCATGCCAGCTCGCCTTTCCCTACTCAGTTCACATTCCCCAAATCTGAGACCACAACTTCACAAGATGATGACTTTTCTTCCTATTTCAGTGAGAAAACAGAAACTTTCAGAAGGGAACTTCCTCATGTTCCCACCCCAAATTCACCAGTCTACCTGCAACTCTACCGCAGAGAAGCTGACATGCACCCACCTGCCACCTCATCTGTACCCCGGGATCCTGTTCCCTCTCACCTGCTCAGAGATGTTATTCCTGAAATTATCCCCTATCTCTCTCTCTCTCACTTAATCAGTTTACCCCTCTGTACTGCAACACTCCCATCATTATGCAAACATGCTATAAAATTATACTTCATCTCTGAAAAGAAAGAAAAAAACTGTTTCGCTACTCACCTAGGTAGTAAAAGCACAACATTCAGAGAATGGTGCTTACCCTTTGGCAGAAAAGCAATCTGGAAAGGGAAATTCAGGGAGCCTTAACTATACTGGGGAAGATTTTACCTCTTGTTTTTGCTTTCTTTTTTTTTTTTTTTTTTTTTGAGATGGAGTCTCCCTCTGTCACCCAGGCTGGAGTGCAATGGCACGATCTCAGCTCACTGCAACCTCCGCCTCCCGGGTTCAAGCGATTCTCCTGCCTCAGCCTCCCAAGTAGCTGGGATTATAGGCACGCACCACCACACCTGGCTAATGTTTTAGTAGAGACAGGATTTCACCATGTTAGCCAGGCTGGTCTCCAACTCCTGACCTCAGGTGATCCGCCCACCTCAGCCTCCCAAAGTGCTGGGATTACAGGTGTGAGCCACCTTGCCCTGATGGGAAGATTTTACTTCATAAGCTGCCTGATGTTCACAAAATTATTCTTTGTAATACATATATATTTATGCATATAAATTATAATTTTATATGTATAAAATAATGCATTTATTTTTAAATTTAAAAACTCTTCCCTGACCCAGCTCACTCCCTCAGTGTTCCACTTCTCTCTCCACTTAACAAAACTTCTCACTGCCTCTACTTTCTCACCTCTCATTCACTCTTGAATTTCTCTCAATCAGGCTCTCATCCCCACCACTTTACTTAAACCACATGTCAGAGTCACAAATGACCTCCAAGTTTCTAAACCCAATGGTCAAGGGTCAGTTTGTGGCAGGCCAATTCTCCCTGACAGTCACACAGACAGGCCTGCATAGCACCCCAGTTACACAGACAGATTTCCACAGCATTGCCTTAACATTGAGCAAATAGTTAAACCTAGGGGAATTGGTGTACAGACATCAAAGCTAGAAATGAAACACATGGTGAGTAAGAGCCTTGCATGGGCTTCTCCCTTGCTGGAGCAAGTCAAAATAACAGAGACAGCCTTACATTCCTAGTGCCAGGACTCGTCTCGGGTCGACGATATCTGAGACAAGTCAAGGTAACAGAGGCAGCTGTTTGAATAGATTCATTGGAGAATCTAAGGCAGCTCTCCGCACCAAGCTGTAAAGGAGATAAGATAGAAATAATCACTCTGGTACCACAGTAAACAGGCCTTGAAGGTACTGGGGCCCTCACAGCTTAATCAGACTTAGCAAGAATTTTTTTGCCTCTGACCCTCTAGTTGAAACAAAATTAGTTACTGATAGACTTTGGTGAATGCCATACTGCATGTAGGCATATAACCTAAACCTGTATAAACACTAAGAAAATAGTAACACTGGCCGGGTGTGGTGGCTCACACCTGTAATTCTAGCACTTTGGGAGGCCGAGGTGGGTGGATCACAAGGTCAAGAGATCGAGACCATCCTGGCCAACATGGTGAAACCCTGTCTCTACTAAAAATACAAAAATTAGCTGGGCGTGGTGGCACGCGTCTGTAGTCCCAGCTACTCGGGAGCCTGAGGCAGGAGAATCATTTAAACCCAGGAGTCGGAGGTTGTGGTGAGCCAAGATCGCACCACTACACTCTAGCCTGGCGACAGAGCGAGACTCCGTCTCAAAAAAAAGAAAAAAAGAAAATTGTAACACTTTGAGTTGGTCTGGTGGAATTATCTCCGACCCTTTCCCTGTATCCGGTGACAGCAACAAATTCCCTTCTTTCCTAGTTTGTCTGCTTCTCGTTATTGGGCCACGAGAAAACACAGCCAAACCTGGCTTAGTTCCAGGAATAAGTTCTCAACTAGAGTCTAAACTAGGGTTTCTCAGTTTCAGGGATTATTGACATTTTGGGTCAGATAGTTCTTTGTCATGGGGGTCTGACCTGTGCATTGTCTTGCCAAGTATCTCCTGTGGGACATCTTGACCAGTGGTTTTCAAGAGTGGGTGATCCTCCCATCCCACCCCCAGGAACATTTGGCAATGTCTAGAGTTGTTTCAGTTATCACAACTGAGGAGGTGCTCCTAGCGTCTAGTGAGCAGCGGCCAGGCATGCTGTTAAACTCCTTGCAACTGGAGGACACAATAAATAATTATTTCACAGCCATAGTAAAGAATGAAATTGGCCGGTCGCGGTGGCTCACGCCTGTTATCCCACCACTTTGGGAGGCCGAGGTGGGCAGATCACCTGAGGTCAGGAGTTTGAGACCAGCCTGGCCAATGTGGTGAAACCCCGTCTCTACTAAAAATATCAAAATTAGCCAGGCATGGTAGCACGTGCCTGTAATCCCAGCTACTCAGGAGGCTGAGGCAGGAGAATCGCTTGAACCTGGGAGGCGGAGGTTGCAGTGAGCCAAGATCATGCCATTGCATTCCAGCCTGAGCGACAAGAGAAAAACTCCATCTCAAAAAAAAAAAAAAAAAAAAAATGAAATCATGTCCTTTGCAACAACGTGGATGAAGCTGGAGGCCATTATCCTAAGTGAACTAACTCAAACATAGAAAACCAAATATTTGGCTGGGTGTGACGGCTCATGCCTGTAATCCCAGCACTTTGGGAGGCCGAGGCAGGTGGATCACTCGAGCTCAGCAGTTCGAGACAAGCCTAGTCTCTACCAAAAACACAAAAAATTAGCTGGGCATAGTGGTATGTGCCTGTGGTCCCAGCTACTTGGGAATCTGAAGTGGGAGGATCACTTGAACCAGGGAGGCAGAGGTTGCAGTGAGCTGGAGTCACACCACTGCACTCCAGCCTGGGTTACAGAGTGAGACCCCATCACGGGAAAAAAAAAAAAAAAAAAAAAGTCGGGCACAGTGGCTCACGCCTGTAATCCCAGCACTTTGGGAGACAGAGGCGGGCAGATCACCTGAGGTCAGGAGTTCGAGACCAGCCTGGCCAACACGGCAAAACCCCGTCTCTACTAAAAACATGAAAATTAGCCTGACATGGTGGCGTGAGCCTGTAATTGCAGCTACTCAGGAGGCTGAGGCAGGAGAATCACTTGAACCTGGGGCGAGGAGGAGGTTGCAGTGAGCAGAGATAGCGCCACTGCACTCCAGCCTGGGCAACAGAGTGAGGCTCCATCTCAAAAAAAAAAAAAAATTTACCTATTGGGTACAATGTTCACTATTTGGGTAACAGGTACACCACTAGAAGCCCAATCCCCACCAGGATGCAATGTAATCATGTAACAACCAACCAGGTGTACTGCTTGGGTTTAAAATTGTGGGGGAAAAAAAAGAAAAGAAAGAAGAAAAAAATTATCCTGCCAGGTGCAGTGGTTCATATCTGTAATCCCAGCACTTTGGGAGGCTGAGGCAGATGGATCACTTGAGTTCAGGAGTTTGAGACCAGCCTGGACAACATAAGGAGTCCCCATCTCTACAAAAAATTAAAAAATTATCTGGGCATAATGGCACACACCTGTGGTCCCAGCTATTTGGGAGGATGAGGTAGGAGGATCACTTGAACCTGGGAAGTCGAGGATGCAGTGAGCCATGGTAACCCCACTGCACTCCAGCCTAGGCAACAGGCTGTCTCAAAAACAAAAAAGAAAGAAAGCATTCCCTAGTTCCTTATTTACTGCTCCTTCTCAGTCTTCACTGACAGCTCCTATTCCTTTTCCAGACCTTTAAATATTAGAGAGCCTCTGGACTCTATTCTTGGCCCTCTCCTCTACCCTAATCCAAGCTCCCATGATTCCATTGTCCCTTCCTTTGTCCCTTAATTGGATTTTCTGCTTCTATTTTTTACTGATGTGGCCTACCCTCTATGAAGAAACCAGAGTGATCTTTAAAATTACCAGATGATATCATTTACCTGCTCAAAACCCTCTGATGCCTCCTGATCACATGTGGGACAAAATAAAAAGTCCTTCCCATGGCCTATGAAGCCTACCTGGCCTTGTTTCTCCCCACCTCTCTGTCTTCATCCCTTACCACTCTTTCCCTTGCTCACTCTGCTCCACTCACTCTGACCTCCTTTCTGAATTTAACATAAAAATCCAATTCCTTTCTACCTCAGGGCCTTTGCACTCTCTTTTTCTTTTCCTGGACACTCTCCCTCCAGATACTTGCATGACTGCTCCTTTATGTCATTTATATCTGCACAAACATCACCTCCACAAGGAGGCTTTCCCTCATCACTTGATTAAATATAGTACCATGGCCAGGCACAGTGGCTCTTGCTTATAATCTCAGCACTTTGGGAGGCAGAGGCAGGAGGATTGCTTGAGGCCTGGAGATTGAGACCAGCCCAGGCAACATAGTGAAACCTCGTCTCTAAAAAAAAAAAAAAAAATTAGCCAGACATGGTGGCATGAACCTGCAGTCCCAGCTACTCATGAGGCTGCGGTGGGAGGATCACTTAAGCCCAGGAGGTCAAGGCTGCGGTGAGCCATGACCACACTACTGCACTCCAGCTTGGGCAACAGAGCAAGACTCTATAAATAATAATAATAATCATCATCAATAAATATAGCACCATGCATACCTGGGAGCACTTTCTATCCCATTCCCTTACCCCTCACCCTGCTTCATGGTGTTCATAGCACTTGTTAGTGCCTGACATTGTATTAAATTTTATTGATTTTTTTATCGTCTGTCATCTTCAATTCAATGTAAGTTACCAGAGATCCAAGGCTTTTTCCACTGCCTTATTCCCAGCATGTAGCACAGTGCTTGGTACAAAGGAGGCCCTCAGTAAAGATTTCTTGGCTGGGCGCAGTGGCTCACGCCTGTAATCCCAGCACTTTGGGAGGCTGAGGTGGGCGGATCGTGAGGTCACAAATCCGAGACCAGCCTGACCAACATGGTGAAACCCTGTCCCTACTAAAAAAAATACAAAAGTTAGCCGGGCGTGGGGGTGCACACCTGTAGTCCCAGCTACTCAGGAGGCTGAGGCAGGAGAATCACTTGAACCCAGGAGGCGTAGGTTGCAGTGAGCCGAGATCACGCTACTGCACTCCAGCCTGGGTGACAGAGCGAGACGTCATCTCAAAACAGCAACAAGAACAAAAACCAACCAACCAAACAAACAAAATTCTTTGAATCACTGAATGAATAAGTAGTTCATAGAGTTGTGTGAGAGAAAAATAGCTAATATATACAAGACATTTAGAACAATGCTGAGTATTACGGTCATAATGCATGGCCAGCGTTTAGTAAGGTGAAGCTGTTATCATTAAACACTTCACTGCCAAAAAGGCTGCCTCCCTCCTGCTTGAAAACCCTGACTATAAGGGAAGCACAGCAAAATGCTTTGGGACCAAAAAGGAGGGAGGAACGATTTTGACACAAATCCCAGCAAAACTAAAAGCCACAGAAACCACCAAAGCTAAACAGAAGGGGAAATTTATTTAGCTTTTGGAAAGCTAGAATTTTTGTCTCTCATGCAGATAATAAATGGAAGAGAATAAGTGCAGCATATGGTTCCATGTGGTGAGTATAGAACGCAGGGGAATGTGAGAGTGTAAAAACTTCCAACCAGCTCAATGCCTGGTGACAGGGCAGCACAAAGGAGTATTGGAATAGCCTGGGAAAACTGAGACTCACAGACTGGAGAGGAATAATCCTGGGTGTTAAGTGGCTTTCCTTACTTCTCCTACCTTGTGCTGCTTCTTCCACCTGCAATAAATCTCTTCCATTTCTTTTTCTTTTTCTTTTTTTCTGTTTTGTTTTGTTTTGTTTTGTTTTTTGAGATGGAGTCTTGCGCTGGCGTCATGCTGGAGTGTAGTGGCGCCATCTTGGCTCACTGCAACCTCCGCCCCCTGGGTTCAAGCGATTCTCCTGCCTCAACCTCCCAAGTAGCTGGGACTACAGGCACATGCGACCACGCCCAGATAATTTTTGTATTTTTAGTAGAGACGGGGTTTCACCATGTTAGCCAGGATAGTCTCGATCTCTTGACCTTGTGATCCACCCGCCTCAGCCTCCCAAAGTGCTGGGATTACAGGCATGAGCCACCGTGCCCGGCAGTCTCTTCCATTTCTGCATATCAAATTTGCGGCCCTCTTTCAAGTCTCAACTCTCTGAAGCCATCCATGAGGTATTTTCAGATCAACCCCAGTTGAAAATAACTCCCCTGCCACTTATCACTTTTTCCTTTGCATCTGGAGCATTGGCTAATCTGACTTTTCACTCTCATTAGATTACTGGTGGGGATTCTCCGTATTTGTCTCCATATTTCACTGGCAAATTCTGGGTATTCAATAAGGGCTACTGAATGAATAAGAAAAAAATTCTACTTCATCCATTTAGAGGGCAAGCATCATATGCTCTGTGTGCAGGAACAAGATGAAACAACCACTAGCTGGCAAACTACCTCAAGCCAGCTCCTGAACCTCTCCTTGGGTTCTGCCTCAGGTTAACTCTTTTTTTTTTTTTTTTTTTTTTTTTTAAAAGACAGGGTCTCACTCTGTTGCCCAGGCTGGGGTACAGTGGTGTGATCCTAGCTCACTGCAGTCTCAACTCCTGGGCTCAAGTAATCCTTCCGCCTTAGCCTCCTGAATAGCTAGGACTACAGGTGCACCACCCTGCCTAGCTAATTTTTATTTTGTAGAGGCAGGGTCTCTATGTTGCCCAGGCTTCAGGTTAGGTCTTGAATGAAGGCAAACAATGCCCTTCTGGGATAGAACAAGGAGAATAACAGAGTATGGCCAGTTTCTCTGAGCCATCTTAGAAGGGGAGGACCCAGAAAAAAGGAAGGAGGGAAGTGACTCCAGGTAAGATGTAAATATATTTGCAGGTAAATCCCCAGAAACTTGTCAAATATGGTTTCCCTCAGTCCAATTTTCTTCACTTAAAGGAGTGGAGAATTGTTCCAAAATGGAGTTAACATTCTGCAATCATAGAGAGCAGAATTATTGCCCTCCTCCCAAGTTCTTGCATTCTCCTAGATGTCTCTTTGACCTTTTTTTTTTTTTTTGAGACGGAGTTTCACACTATTGCCCAGGTTGGAGTGCAATGGTGTGATCCTGGCTCACTGCAACCTCTGCCTCCCAGGTTCAAGCGATTCTCCTGCCTCAGCCTCCCAAGTAGCTGGGATTACAGGCGCCCGCTACCACACCTGGCTAATTTTTATATTTTATTAGTAGAGATGGGGTTTTACAATGTTGACCAGGCTGGTCTCGAACTCCTGACCTCATGTGATCTGCCCGCCTTGGCCTCCCAAAGTGCTGGGATTACAGGCGTGAGCCACTGCACCTGGCCCTCTTTGACCTTCTTAACCCAGAGTCTCACTTTTCGAGAGGTTTCTGTGTAGCAAGACGGGGTAAGTATGTCCCATTTGCATTCACACGATTTCTGGAGGTATTGGTGATGTTGGTCCCTGCAACACCAAAGGAAGAGAGGGAGCAGAGGACAATTTGTAGTGACAAGAAGAGACTGGATCCAGTCCCTTGGGGAAGAAGATTCCTTTTCATCTCTTCCTCTCATGCCTGCTCATCTTCCATTTCATTCTCAAATCTTTAGGGGAAAGGGAGAGGAGAGAGACATTGCTGTTTCCCCACTTTCCAGTCCAAGCATCTATCCCAACAGATAAGCAAATTTCACTTGTCATCCTCTTTATGTATCTTTCTCAAATGTCTTGTTCTCTAGCCAGGCTTAAGGATATAATCTTCCTGGTTTGTGGCTCTCTTTCGTCTTGATTCCTTGATGACTGCCTCCAAAGAGCTGAGCTCTGGCACAATTAGACTTGAGGAAGATAGTGTGAGTCAGTCAACAAGCATGTAGTATCTACACTTTGGGGGAGAGCCTATACTCTTTCTTATTTCTTTTTTTACAAATTATTATTTTGAGACAGAATTTCTCAAATTCCTTTCTACCTCAGGAAAGGAAAGGAAATTGGATAAGGCGACTTTGTCGCCAGGCTGAAGTGCAGTGGTGTGATCTCGGCTCACTGCAACCTCTGCCTCCCGGGTTCAAGCGATTCTCCTGCCTCAGCCTCCTAAGTAGCTGAGACTACAGGCACACACCTCCACACCAGCCTAATTTTTGTATTTTTAGTAAAGACGGGGTTTCACCATGTTGGCCCGACTGGTCTCAAACTCCTGACCTCGAGTGATCCACCCACCTTGGCCTCCCAAAGTGCTGGGATGACAGGCATGAGCCACTGCGCCTGGCCACTCTTTCCTATTTCTGAATCTTCACAGGTTGTTGGTCCCTTCCTAGTCCTGTGTTTCTCAAGTTAAGACTAGGGGGAATCTACAGGTCCATGGCTATCTTCTCTGGGGAACTCTTCTAAAACTTTAAGTTTGTGCTTACCTCTTGATGGGCCATATTTTTAAAAAGAGAAATATTTTCATACATGATGATTTGGATTAGGTTTTTTTTAGGGGTTTCAATGCCTATATTTGTATTTGTGTTTATTTATTTATTTATTTTTTGAGACAGTCTTGCTGTGTCGCCCAGGCTGGAGTGCAATGGTGTGATCTTGGCTCACTGCAACCTCCGCCTCCTGGGTTCAAGCGATTCTTCTGTCTCAGCCTCCCAAGTAGCTGGGACTATAGGCGTGTGCCACCACGCCAGGCTAATTTTTGAATTTTTAATAGAGACGGAGTTTCACCATATTGACCTTGTGATCCGCTCGCCTCGGCCTCCGTGCAGTGGCGCGATCTCAGCTCACTGCAACCTCCGCCTCCCAGGTTCAAGCGATTCTCCTGCCTCAGTCTCCTGAGTAGCTGGGACTACAGGCATGCGCCACACCAGCTAATTTTTGTATTTTTAGTAGAGACGGGGTTTCACCATGTTGGCCAGGTGGTCTCAAACTCCTGACCTAAAGTGATCCGCCTGCCTTGGCGCCGTGGCTCACGCCTGTAATCCCAACACTTTGGGAAGCCGAGGTGGGCAGATCACTTCTGGTCGGGAGTTTGAGACCAGCCTGGCTGACATGGTGAAACCCCATCTTCACTAAAAATACAAAAATTAGCCAGGCATGGTGGCAGGTGCCTGTCATCCCCGCTACTTGGGAGGCTGAGGCAGGATAATCGCTTGAACCTGGGAGGCAGAGGTTGTAATGAGCCGAGATCTCGCCAGTGCACTCCAGCCTGCGTGACAGAGTGATACTCCGTCTCAAAAAAAACAAAAAACAAAAAAACAAAAACAAACAAACAAAACCAGGGAGAGAATTGTTTTGACACAAGTCTTTGGCTAATGATGAAACCGTCTCCCTTCCTGGCTGTCCTGGCATGGTTTTTATAGTCTGAGGCACAATGGTGAGAGCAAACTTAAGAGGGAGCCAAAGTGAGGTACTCAAGAGAGGGATCCTTCTTTCCTGGAGAACTGTGGTAGCCCAGGCTGTGTAGGTAGCTGGACAAGCAAGACTGAATCACAATAGGTCTCTACATCTTCTATTAGGAGGAGAACCTGCAACATCCAGTGGAGCAGGTCACACCAGTTATACATGTAAAATGTAGGATAAACTAAAGGGGCACAGAGCCAGGGGAGAAGACAATGGGATGAGACTGTTCTAGAATCTCATCCCATTGGTTCATTGCTGGGTGTGGTGGCTCACACCTATAATCCCAGCACTTTGGGAGGCTGAGATGGGATGATGGCTTGAGGCCAGGAGTTTGAGACCAGCCTGGTAAACACAGCAGACCCCATCTCTCTAAAAAAAAAAAAAAAAAAAGAAAAACATACGGCTTATGAACCAGCAGCATCTGCATTAACCAGCTTATTGAAATGCAGAATCACAGGCCCCACAACAGACTTCCTAAATCATAATCTGCAACTTAACAAGTTCCCTAGGTGATATGTATGCACACTTATGTTTGAAAAGCACTAAGATTTCTTGATGAAGGAGGACTTGAAAGGCAATGATGGATGTGAAAGGAAAGGTAAAGAGAAGCCTCAGGTAGTCACCCAAGGGACAGGGCCGGTTGGAGAGAGAGTCCCGAGGTTTTATCCTGGAGAACACCCTGTACTGAATGAGCTCTGAACATAAAGATAGTTAGCATAGGAGGGCCTGAAGTCTCCAGATAAAAGGCTGCTGCCACTATCATTTACCACGACCTCTGCCATTCTCCACTCTATTGTCATCCGCCCCCAGTCTCCATTCCAGGACTTCTCTACACTTTGACTTTTTGTTTGTTTGTTTGTTTGTTTGAGACGGAGTCTTGCGCTGTCGCCCAGGCTGGAGCGCAGTGGCACGATCTTGGCTCACCGCAAGCTCCGCCTTCCGGGTTCATGCCATTCTCCTGCCTCAGCCTCCCGGGTAGCTGGGACTATAGGTGCCCGCCACCACGCCCAGCTAATTTTTTGTATTTTTAGTAGAGACGGGGTTTCACCATGTTGTCCAGGCTGGTCTCGAACCCCTGACCTCAAGTGATCCCCCCGCCGCCCCGCCCCCTCCCCCCCGCCCCGCCCCCCCCCGCCGCCTCGGCCTCCCAAATTGCTGGGATTACAGGCGTGCGCGATGCCCGGCTTTTTATTTATTTATTTATTTATTTTTGAGGCGGGAATCTTGCTCTGTCGCCAGGCTGGATTGCAGTGGCACCATCTCGGCTCACTGCAACCTCCGACTCCCTGGTTCAAGCGATTCTCCCACCTCAGCCTCCCAAGTAGCTGGGATTACAGGCACACGCCACCATGCCCAGCTAACTTTTTGTATTTTTAGTAGAGACGAGATTTCACCATGTTGCCAGGATGGTCTCGATCACCTGACCTCGTGATCCGCCCACCTCAGCCTCCCAGAGTCTCAGTTGCCAAAGCTGGAGTGCAATGGCGCGATCTCGGCTCACTGCAACCTCCGCTTCCCAGGTAAGCCATTCTCCTGCCTCAGCCTCCTGGGTAGCTGGGATATAGGCGCCCGCCATCACGCCGAGCTATTTTTGCATTTTTAGTAGAGACGGGGTTTCACCATGTTGGCCAGGCTGGTCTTGAACTCCTGACCTCAACCTCCCAAAGTGCTGGGATTACAGGCGTGAGCCACCGCGCCCGGCCCACCTTTTTTTTTTTTTTTTTTTTTTTTTTGTTTGAGACGGAGTCTCTAGTCTCGCTCTGTCGCCCAGGCTGGAGTGCAATGGTGTGATCTCGGCTCACTGCAACGTCTGTCTCCCGGGTTCAAGCGATTCTCCTGTTTCAGCCTTCCGAGTAGTTGGGATTACAGGCGCGCGCCACCATGACCTACTAATTTTTGTATTTTTAGTAGAGACAGGGTCTCACCATGTTGGCCCACTTTGACTCTTGAGCAGCCTGGCCAGCCCGACCGCGCCAAATTCTGTTCGATTCTGCCTAGTTCGGTTGCTCTGGCCTAGTTCAGTTGCTAAGGCCTGGAGCTTCATGGTTGCGGAGGAAATGATGTCACGTTCAATAGGCGGGCTAACCAGATTCCTCCCTTCTCCCGATTGGCTGCCAGGAATTTGACTAGATTCGGAGTCTCGCGGGCTCCAGGGTTAGTTGTCAGTATCTTTCCCAGTTGTTCCGCCCCCTACCCCCGCCTCCCGCACCGCGCCCCTCTCCGGCTGCCCTCTCCGCGTGGGGCAAGGCTCCGAGGGCAGCATTCAGTAGCCATTTAGCTTTGGAAGGAGAGGTGATTCGAATGGCCCGGCTCCTCCTGTCACCATGCTAGGCACTTTGGCCGCGCAGGTACTTATTGACCCGACCGGGTGTCCGTAGTTGGCGCGGCTACCTTAACCGCAGGGAATTGTGGAATTTATAGTTCTAAATTATATGTGGGTGGAACGGGGAAGCTGGAGCAGATTTTTGGAGGAAAGCAAAACTGGGGACTTTCAGGACTAGGGGCCTGGGTCTCAGAAGAATGGGAAAGGACGAGAAAGGAGTCTAAATAAGAACCCTGCTATTAGCATTGTTTGGTTTTCTTTTCAGGTGCTGACCTGAACCTGGTTTATCCCTTTCTGACCAAAACTGTTCACTCACCGTGGAAGGGACTAAGCATCCATATGGAGACGCCACCAGTCAATACAATTGGAGAAAAGGACACCTCTCAGCCGCAACAAGAGTGGGAAAAGAACCTTCGGGAGAACCTTGATTCAGTTATTCAGATTAGGCAGCAGCCCCGAGACCCTCCTACCGAAACGCTTGAGCTGGAAGTAAGCCCAGATCCAGCCAGCCAAATTCTAGAGCATACTCAAGGAGCTGAAAAACTGGTTGCTGAACTTGAAGGAGACTCTCATAAGTCTCATGGATCAACCAGTCAGATGCCAGAGGCCCTTCAAGCTTCTGATCTCTGGTACTGCCCCGATGGGAGCTTTGTCAAGAAGATCGTAATCCGTGGCCATGGCTTGGACAAACCCAAACTAGGCTCCTGCTGCCGGGTACTGGCTTTGGGGTTTCCTTTCGGATCAGGGCCGCCAGAGGGCTGGACAGAGCTAACTATGGGCGTAGGGCCATGGAGGGAGGAAACTTGGGGGGAGCTCATAGAGAAATGCTTGGAGTCCATGTGTCAAGGTGAGGAAGCAGAGCTTCAGCTGCCTGGGCACTCTGGACCTCCTGTCAGGCTCACACTGGCATCCTTCACTCAAGGCCGAGACTCCTGGGAGCTGGAGACTAGCGAGAAGGAAGCCCTGGCCAGGGAAGAACGTGCAAGGGGCACAGAACTATTTCGAGCTGGGAACCCTGAAGGAGCTGCCCGATGCTATGGACGGGCTCTTCGGCTGCTCCTGACTTTACCCCCACCTGGCCCTCCAGAACGAACTGTCCTTCATGCCAATCTGGCTGCCTGTCAGTTGTTGCTAGGGCAGCCTCAGTTGGCAGCCCAGAGCTGTGACCGGGTGTTGGAGCGGGAGCCTGGCCATTTAAAGGCCTTATACCGAAGGGGGGTTGCCCAGGCTGCCCTTGGGAACCTGGAAAAAGCAACTGCTGACCTCAAGAAGGTGCTGGCGATAGATCCCAAAAACCGGGCAGCCCAGGAGGAACTGGGGAAGGTGGTCATTCAGGGGAAGAACCAGGATGCAGGGCTGGCTCAGGGTCTGCGCAAGATGTTTGGCTGATTAAAAGTTAAACCTTAAAAGAGACAGGAACTTGTGAATTGTGGTCTGTGCTGTGAGATTTGGGGGTGGGGGGCCAGAGGGAAGGTTTCAGCCCATATCCCATTCTCAGCTTTTGGCTTCCTAGGGGAGGTAGCAGTGGTCACAGTGCGCCCCTTTTGAGGGGCTTATCTATCTCCGAGGACACATAGAAGCTGTCTAAACTAAACTTAGTAGTGGCTGGGGGAGATGGTGGACCTTAATACTGGGTACTACATCTCCCAGGCGCTTTATCACTGGAGCCTGTTTGGCGCATGCGCTTGGCGGTATGGCACTGTCTGGAAGTTACTTCCTGCTGCTGTGCTCCCATTGGGCCCGCCTACACAGTCATCCGCATCTGTTGATTCACGTGCTCAGCACCCAGGTCTCTTACTGGTCGGTAGAGCTTCCGGGACGCCCCCTTTTTTGAAAGAGTCAACTGATTAGTTGGTGATGGGGAGAGGCGGGCCTTGGGAACCGTCTCCTGGTTGGGGGGTGGGGGGGAAAGATGGCGGAGCTGATGCTGCTCAGCGAGATTGCTGACCCGACGCGTTTCTTCACCGACAACCTGCTTAGCCCGGAGGACTGGGGTCTGCAGAGTGAGGCACCGGGGAGGGGAGAGGGCTGTGGCAAACTGTCCCTGAGGCACGCGGGAAAGAAGCGGGGGCCTAAAGAGGAAGTCTGGGCAAATACGGAATCCGCCATCTGAAGGAGAGCGGAGCAGGGGGCTCGTTGTGCATTAAGGGGGATACAAAAGTCAGGGAAGAACTCTGCTCCCTGCTGGAACGTCGAGTTGTTCCGGGGTCGGGGAAGGAGGGGCTGAAGCGCCCTGGTTGTATCACTTTTCAAGTGGGCGGGCGGTGGGTCTGGCCGAGCGGAGCCAATGAGGGATGGGGCGGGGGCTTGTGTGCGATCTGTAGGCTGGGGCCACCGAACGACCCCCCGACGCTCAGCATTTCTTGCAGACAGCACCTTGTATTCTGGCCTAGATGAAGTGGCCGAGGAGCAGACGCAGCTCTTCCGTTGCCCGGAGCAGGATGTCCCGGTATTGTGTCCCCAGCCTTTCTCTAACCCTTGGTGGGTGGAAAGTGAGCCCAGAACCTGGACCCATTCACAGGCCATAACTCATCTGGAGTCACCCCTACTTTCTCATCCTTTCTCACACTCCTGCCCTCTTGTATCCTCCCTTATTTAGTTTGACGGCAGCTCCCTGGACGTGGGGATGGATGTCAGCCCCTCTGAGCCCCCATGGGAACTCCTGCCGATCTTCCCAGGTAAGGTAGTCTTTGTCGTTCCCTCAGATTTCCAGAAACCCTCATCTTCCCACTGTTTCCCAGAAACTACGTAGCTTCCTATATCCTCACGCTTCTACATAAGTGCCTATCCTCTCTCCTTCAATCCCCTATTTTTGTTTCTTCTCCCTTGCTGCGGTACAGGAATCCCCACCGACATGTCCTTGGGTACTTTTTGGACTCTTCTTAAGCTCTGCTTCCTGATAATTTCTAACTCCCTTTCCTCCAGATCTTCAGGTGAAGTCTGAGCCATCTTCCCCCTGCTCTTCCTCCTCCCTCAGCTCCGAGTCATCGCGTCTCTCCACAGAGCCATCCAGCGAGGTGAGAGAGCCATATCCCTCTTACTCTCTGTGACGGGGACTCTGCTTCATTCCCTTCACCCGTGGGTGACAAAGAAATGATTTAAATGATTTGTGTGCTATGAGTCATGAGGTGTGTGAGGTGTGGGGGGCCTTCTCCACTACCTTTGCCGTTTCCTTAATATCTTCATTTTCCACATCCCCTTTGGTTATCTAGCAGTGAAGATTTTTTTGTTTGTTTGTTTTTTGTTTTTTGCTTTTTTTTGAGATAGGGCCTCCCTCTGTCACCCAAACTACAGTGTAGTGACGGGGTCACAGCTCACTGTAGCCTTGACCTCCTGAGCTCAGGTGATCCTCCTGCCTCAGCCTCCTGAGTAGTTGGGACCACAGACACATGCCACCATGTCTGGCTAATTTTTTTTATTGTTTGTAAAAATGGGGTCTTCCTATGTTGCCCAGAGTGGACTTAAACTCCTGGGCTCAAGTGATCCTCCCACCTTGGCATCCCAAAGTGCTTGGATTACAGGTATAAGCCACCACGCCTGATCTTGGGTCTTTTTAATATAAAGAGTTATGTGGGGCTGGGAAGAAGAGAGTTATTGACTGCTGAGAATTCTGGAACTGTTCTTGCCCAAGTTGTCCACTCTGAGGCCATATTTGAAGTCATGAGACTTCATCAATTCTCCCAGAAATAAAGTAGAAAGAATGAACAGGTTAGAAAGATGGTCAGTACCATTCAGACCAGAATGTCAAATAATTGATGGCTTGTAAGCCCTAAACTTCTAAAGCTTTTGTTCTCGCTCTTACTGTCAACATCTCCCTTGTTTTTTGCCCTTCTTTCTGCCCCCTGCCCCACACCAACTCTCACCCAGGCTCTTGGGGTAGGGGAGGTGCTCCATGTGAAGACAGAGTCCTTGGCACCCCCACTGTGTCTCCTGGGAGATGACCCAACATCCTCATTTGAAACCGTCCAGATCAACGTTATCCCCACCTCTGATGATTCCTCAGGTAATAAAACAGCCTGCCCCCAATCCTTGGCTCTACTACGGGAGAATGTGTTATGTGTGTGTGTGTATGTGTGTAGATGGAGGGGAAGTGCAGGCAGCAGGACAGGGAGAAAAAGGTGGGGAGGGGAAATGGCAGAAAACCAGGAGGGAAGGCAGGAAGGAGAGGAAACATTTCAGGGAACCACAGCAAGGGCAGTGCTGAGGAGATGGATATTATTTTTCTCTCTTTTTCTTGTTCCTAGTATTCTGTCATGCCATTCAACTTACTTTTTAAAAACTTGTGAGCAGTTTAGGGCATATGTATCTGTGTGATTCCCCTCCACCCAACATTTTATTATAAACATTTTTGTTGTTGTTGAGACAGAGTCTCACACTGTCGCTCGGGCTGAAGTGCAGTGGTGTGGTCTCAGCTCACTGCAACCTCCACCTCCCAGGTTCAAGTGATTCTCCTGTCTCAGCCTCCCAAGTAGCTGGGATTACAGGCACCCACCACCACGCCCAGCTAATTTTTTGTATTTTTAGTAGAGATGGGGTTTCACCATGTTGGCCAGGCTGGTCTTGAACTCCTGACCTCATGAGTCGCCTACCTCCGCCTCCCAAAGTGCTGAGATTACAGGCGTGAGCCATCGCGCCCAGCCCATAAACATTTTTAAACATACAGAAAGGCTAGAACACCATATACTAAACTAGATTCTACAATTAACATTATTTGTTCTATTTTTAAAGTGTTCCCAAGTTTATTTACTCGTAGCTGTGTATTTAGTAAATGTTTATTGATGTGATCATATCTGAGGTATAATAATTATAAAAAAGAAATATTTATTAAGCACCTACTCCATGCCAGATACTGAGCAGCATGCTGGGAATGCAAAGATGAACAAGACCTGACCACCATGCTGACTTTCAAACCCTGTGATTTGGTAATGGGAGAAAGACAAGTACCAGTCAATACAGGTGTGGTCATTCTAGGATAGAAATCACTAGAGGTGGGGCTGGGTGTGGTGGCTCATGCTTGTAATCCCAGCACTTTGGGAGGCCGAGGTGGGCGGATCACGAGGTCAGGAGATTGAGACCATCCTGGCTAAGATGGTGAAACCCCGTGTCTACTAAAAATACAAAAAATTAGCCTGTAGTCCCAGCTACTTGGGAGGCTGAGGCAGGAGAATGGCATGAACCCGGGAGGCGGAGCTTGCAGTGAGCCGAGATCACGCCACTGCACTCCATCCTGGGCAAAAGAGCAAGACTCCGTCTGGAAAAAAAAAAAAAATCACTAGAGGGTACCATGAAAGCTCATAAGAGGGGACATTTCATCCACATTGGCGCTGAATCTGGGATGTGCCCCTGGAAGAAGGGTTTCCTGAGAGTTTTAAAGGACACGTAGAAATTAGCCAGGAGGACAGTGTGGGGGTTGACTTGTGTCTGAGGACCCTGCATTTCTTCAGAGTGGATGTAAGAAGGATTTGGGGAGTGATGTGGAACTGCAGGGGCTACAGGGCCAGGTGGGGCCCCTGCTAAGGGGCTCTTAGCTTTTATCCTGTGGATAGGTGGGGGCCTTTGGAGAATTAAGCAGGGAAGTAATATGATTAGGAAGATGATTCTAGTGGCAAAGTAGAGAATGGGTTGCAGAGGGGCAGGGCCAGAGGCAAGAGAACCAAGGAAGAAGCTTATGCAGTTGATCAAGTAAGATATTCGGATGTCATGAAGAAAGCAGACTTGAGAAAGAATGAAGTGGAATAGATGAGTTGTGACCTCCTGGACATTGGAGAGAGGTAGGAGTCAAAGAGGTTTGTGGCTAGGATGGCTGTGGGTGGGTGATGTTACTGTTCACTGGATGGAGACTGCAAAAGCAGGGGCTTTCTGGTCAGGGAAGATGATGAATTCAGCGTTGGACATGTTGATTCTGTTGTTGTTGTTGTTATGGAGCTTCACTCTTGTTGCCCAGGCTGGAGTGCAATAGTGGTGTGATCTTGGCTCACTGTAATCTCTGCCTCCTGGGTTCAAGCGATTCTCCTGCCTCAGCCTCCTGAGTAGCTGGGATTACAGGCATGCTCCACCACGCCTGGCTAATTTTGTATTTTTAGTAGAGACAGGGCTTCTTTCATGTTAGGCTGGTCTTGAATTCCCGACCTCAGGTGATCCACCCACTTTGGCTCCCAAAGTGCTGGGATTACAGGCGTAAGCCACCATGCCCAGTTGACATGTTGATTGTTGATTTCAAAGTACCTTCTGGATCTCCTGGCACCATCTCTCACTGGCTGAACTCCAACCAGGGAGCCCGCTGATGCAGTCCATTCAGATTCTCCCTGGATCTCAGGGAGCACAGCAGGGAGGGATGGAAAGTGGATTTGGAGGGACAAACAGATTATATCTAGCAGATTAATACATGTTATAAAAAAGATACACAAAATAAGGATTGAAATACCATTAGCAGGCCAGGCACAGTGGTTCACACCTGTAATCCCAGCACTTTGGGAGGCCAAGGCGGGCAGATCACGAGGTCAGGAGATCAAGACCATTCGGGCTAACACAGTGAAGCGCCATCTCTACTAAAAATACAAAAAATTAGCCAGGCATGGTGGCAGGCACCTGTAGTCTCAGCTACTCGGGAGGCTGAGGCAGGAGAATGGGGTGAACCCGGGAGGCGGAGCTTGCAGTGAGCCGAGATCGCCCACTGCTATTAGCAGCAAAAGGATTGTAAGGATTGTTGGTGGCTTTGCATTGCATAGTGTTATTAGAGTCAGATTCTCCTCCATACTTAGGTATTTTTTGAGGGCCTGTACTTTACCCTCAATGGACATGAGACATAGTTCTTGCTTTTGGAGAGTTTTGTGAGGGTTATAATACATCATGGTTAAATAGTTCCCTTTTTTTTTTTTTTTTTTTTTTTTTTGAGACAGAGTTTTGCCCTGTCACCCAGGCTAGAGTGCATTGGCGTGATCTCCACTCACTGCAACCTCCGTTTCCTGGGTTTAAGCTATTGTCCTGCCTCAGCCCCCCTAATAGCTAGGACTACAGGCACGTGCCACCATGTCCGGCTATTTTTTTGTATTTTTGGTAGAGACAGGGTTTTGCCATGTTGTTCAGGCTGGTGTCAAACTCCTGGCTTCAAGCAATCCACCTGCGTTGGGTGTCGGCCTCCCAAAGTGCTGGGATTACAGGCGTGAGCCACCATGCCCAGCCATGGTTAAATAGTTCTGATAGTGGTTATCTCTGTGTAGGGAATCTGAGTGACTGGAGGACCGGGAAGGGAAGTTTTTTTTTTTTTTTTTTTTGAGACAGAGTCTCGCTCTACCCAGGCTGGAGTGCAGTGGCGCAATCTCGGCTCACTGCAAGCTCCGCCCCCTGGGTTCATGCCATTCTCCTCCCTCAGTCTCCCAAGTTGCTGGGACTACAGGCGTCCGCCACCACGCCTGGCTAATTTTTCTATTTTTTTAGTAGAGACGGGGTTTCACCGTGTTAGCCAGGATGGTCTCGATCTCCTGACCTCGTGATCCACCTGCCTCGGCCTCCCAAAGTGCTGGGATTACAGGCGTGAGCCACCGTGCCCCGCCAAGATTTTTTTTTTGACTTAATTTTCCTTTGTTCGTTTGGATTTGTATCATGACTGTATTATCTATTCAAAAATATAAATTGAAGTTTTAAAAAGCAATCTTAGTGATCATATAATTAAGTACCAAAGTGAACGGTATGGACCAGAGGTAGTGGTGGACTGTTGACCTGTGGGCTGAATCTGGCCCTCAGAAGGGTTTTATTTCACCGACATGGGGCCTAGCATTTTCTTTCATGGAGTGATCAACAAGTCATAAAGGCAGATTTATTGGAGGCCATGGAGGCTCAGAGGTGACTGAGGCTTTGCTGTTTGGTGCCTGGGAGGAAAACTTGTGTGACGGGGCAATCAGGAAGCCTCATTTATGGCCAGTTAGATTTGGGTGACTGGTGAGGCATGAGAATGGAAGGGACCAGCAGGCAGCTTGGAAGTCAGAATCTGGTGCAGGTGAGCAGCCAGGGGGAGATGCACACTTGGCGGTTGTCAGCATGGAGATGCATTGGGCAGGGATAAGGTGGAAATCCAGCAAGATAGGAATTTGGGCCATGTGAATGCTGGAGACCCCCCTGCCACTTCCCCTGCTCAGGCCTATTCTATGTGAATAGACAAGTTCTGTGAACAAGAAAGAGGGAAACGCAGAAGGGCAAAGACAGCTTTGAGGAACATGGAGCAGGGATGAGAAAAATCAGAGGAGCCACTAAAGGAGAAAGGGAAGCACTAGGCGAAAAGCGGGGCGGAGAGCCAGCAGGTGAGCAGCTCTGTGACTGCCCCTCCTGGATGGCCTGTAATCTAGGGCCAGAAGAGTTTTATTTTCAGGTTCAAAGAGAAAGGACCCATTTCCCCATCTTAACCCTCTTTTTTATTTTTTTGAGATGGAGTTTTGCTCTTCTTGCCCAGGCTGGAGTGCAATGGCGCGATCTTGGCTCACTGCAACCTTTGCCTCCCAGGTTCAAGCGATTCTCCTGCCTCAGCCTCCTGAGTATCTGGGACACAGGGATGCGCCACCATGCCCGACTAATTTTGTATTTTTAGTAGAGACGGGGTTTCTCCATGTTGGTCAGGCTGGTCTTGAACTCCTGACCTCAGGTGATCTGCCCGCCTTGGCCTCCCAAAGTGCTGAGATTACAGGCGTGAGCCACCATGCCCAGCCTCCCATCTTAACCCTCTTAACCCTTCAGTGTTTACATGATATCCAGCTTTTGCCTCATCCTGCCTCCCACAGATGTCCAGACCAAGATAGAACCTGTCTCTCCATGTTCTTCCGTCAACTCTGAGGCCTCCCTGCTCTCAGCCGACTCCTCCAGCCAGGTGAGCACCACCTTCCTTCCTTCCTCCAGGTTTTCCAGTGAGTTCCTCCTGACCTAGAGGTATGAGAGCTTTCCCTTCTTCAGCTCCTTCTCCTCGACACTCTTCCTGACTAATGTATCTCTGGAATGCCCCACATAGGCTTTTATAGGAGAGGAGGTCCTGGAAGTGAAGACAGAGTCCCTGTCGCCTTCAGGATGCCTCCTGTGGGATGTCCCAGCCCCCTCACTTGGAGCTGTCCAGATCAGCATGGGCCCATCCCTTGATGGCTCCTCAGGTAATGGAGTCTCCTGACACTTGGAATCCCTAGTGAGAGGCCTTTGGTCCTGACATTTCTTGTTCTTTTCTCTCACCTTCCTTCAGGCAAAGCCCTGCCCACCCGGAAGCCGCCACTGCAGCCCAAACCTGTAGTGCTAACCACTGTCCCAATGCCATCCAGAGCTGTGCCTCCCAGCACCACAGTCCTTCTGCAGTCCCTCGTCCAGCCACCCCCAGGTACTGAAGAAGGAGAAAAGGGCCGGGCATGGTGGCTCACGCCGGTAATCCCAGCACTTTGGGAGGCTGAGGCGGGCGAATCACCTGAGGTCAGAAGTTTAAGACCAGCCTGGCCAACGTGGTGAAACCTTGTCTCTACTAAAAATACAAAAATTAGCGTGGAGTGGTGGCAGGCGCCTGTAATCCCAGCTCCTCGGGAGGCTGAGGCAGGAGAATCACTTGAACCCAGGAGGCGGAGGTTGCAGTGAGCCGAGATCATGCCACTGCACTCCAGCCTGGGCGACAAAGCGAGACTTTGTCTCAAAAAAAAAAAAAAGAAAAAAGAAAAACCAAAAAATAAAAATAAAAATTAATTAATTAATTAAAAAAAAAAGGCCAGGCACAGTGGCTCACGCCTGTAATCCCAGCACTTTGGCAGGCCAAGGCAGGCGGATCACAAGGTCAGGAGATCGAGACCATCCTGACTAACACAGTGAAACCCCGTCTCTACTAAAAATACAAAAAAATTAGCCAGGCGTGGTGGCGTGCGTCTGTAGTTCCAGCTGCTGGGGAGGCTGAGGCAGGAGAATGGCGTGAACCCGGGAGGCGGAGCTTGCAGTGAGCCGAGATCGCACCACTGCACTCCAGCCTGGTCGACAGAGCAAGACTGCATCTCAAAAAAGAAAAAAAGGAGAAAAGGAGGCGGGCTGCATTGACCCTGTCAGAGAGCTTGCAGCCATTGAGGCTGCCCAATCCTTGGGTGCTCTTGTGTGGGTGTGGACACAAGGACCCCACCCAGCGCACAGCCCTCTGACCTCTGCTCACTTGCCCCAGTGTCCCCAGTTGTCCTCATCCAGGGTGCTATTCGAGTCCAGCCTGAAGGGCCGGCTCCCTCTCTACCACGGCCTGAGAGGAAGAGCATCGTTCCCGCTCCTATGCCTGGAAACTCCTGCCCGCCTGAAGTGGATGTAAGTGTTGGGGAGGAGAGAAGTAGGGCGAGTGATGGGAAGGGAAGAGGGAAGTCTTGCCATAGAGAGAACTGTGGGATGAGGAGGGAGTCGATACCTAGGAGAAAAAAGTGAGGAAACGGACCCATTAGATCATTCTGAGGGTCAGAATGGACTCCTGTTTCTATATGAATATCAACTCCAGGTAGTTTTAGGGTCCTTTAGGTTTGCTGTCACTGCAGATGGAGAAATGGGGTTGGTCTCCATAAATTAAAGGCAAGGAAGTCGTACTGTACTATACGACTACGGTCATGGCCATAGTTGGGGAGGGAGGCTGCCTCCTAGGGGAAAATCAGGTAAACTGTATAAGCAGTATAACAAGGTTAAACTTTGAACCCTACAAATGTGGGCTGACAGGAAGAAAGAGTTACGAAGGAAAGAGTTTCCACCAGCATGGAGAAAGTTCTTCCCACACTCTAACCTTTCCCACCTCTGAGGAGCAGTAGCAGGGAATGTTTGAAAGAAGGGCCCCTTCCCTAGCGTGTTTGAGTAGAGAGGAAAAACCTCTCTGGCTATGTAGGTGGGTCAGGAAGGCAGGGGAATGGCCATGTGAGCTTTGGGTAAATCATTCCTTGGGGTTTGAGAGCATAGTCTCCTTCTGCCAACTCATCTGTCATTCTTTTTTGACCTTCCGGGTGCCTAGGCAAAGCTGCTGAAGCGGCAGCAGCGAATGATCAAGAACCGGGAGTCAGCCTGCCAGTCCCGGAGAAAGAAGAAAGAGTATCTGCAGGGACTGGAGGCTCGGCTGCAAGCAGTACTGGCTGACAACCAGCAGCTCCGCCGAGAGAATGCTGCCCTCCGGCGGCGGCTGGAGGCCCTGCTGGCTGAAGTAAGACCAGTCTGTCCCTGGGAGACCAACAGGAATACAGCCTCCTTGGAATGATTCCCCTTTTTCTTGTCTCCTTCTTTGTACCTTAGAACAGCGAGCTCAAGTTAGGGTCTGGAAACAGGAAGGTGGTCTGCATCATGGTCTTCCTTCTCTTCATTGCCTTCAACTTTGGACCTGTCAGGTGAGACCTTCCTTGCTTCACTAGAACCTTCCAGGTGGAGCCCACGTTACAGCCTCCTAGCTGCCTGCTTTGGCCCAGGCCATTTCCTTCTGCTTATATACAAATGGTTCTGGTGTCCTTGGCACCGATGATGTGTCTGGCCAGCCCCTTCCTGCTCCATTATTTGTCTTTTTTTCTTGGAGATGGAGCCTTGTTCTGTTGCCCAGGCTGGAGTGCAGTGGCACGATCTCGGCTCACTGCAACCTCTGCTTCCTGGGTTCAAGTGATTCTCCTGCCTCAACCTCCCAAGTAGCTGGGACTACAGGCGCACGCCACCATGCCCGGCTAATTTTTTGTATTTTTTAGTAGAGACAGGGTTTCACTGTTGTTGCCCAGGCTGGTCTCGAACTCCTGAGCTCAGGCAGTCTGCCCACCTCAGCCTCCCAAAGTGCTAGGATTACAGGCTTGAGCCACCTCGCCCGGCCTCCTGCTCCATTATTTTTCCAGTGGAGAGTAGATGATGGTGATAATGCTGGTAGAAATAGTGACTATTAAGTGCTTACTGAGTTCTAGGCTCTAGGTGATGCACTGTCTTTTTTGTATGTAGGGACCATCCTTATTCCCATCTTACAGAGGCAGACTCAGGCTTGTATAACAGATTGCAACTCAAGCAGTCCATCTGCAGAGTCTTTATTCTTACCTAGATACTTGATACAGCTGAAATTCTTCATTGTGCTCAGTCCTTCTTTATCCACAGCATCAGTGAGCCTCCTTCAGCTCCCATCTCTCCTCGGATGAACAAGGGGGAGCCTCAACCCCGGAGACACTTGCTGGGGTTCTCAGAGCAAGAGCCAGTTCAGGGAGTTGAACCTCTCCAGGGGTCCTCCCAGGGCCCTAAGGAGCCCCAGCCCAGCCCCACAGACCAGCCCAGTTTCAGGTGAGGAGAGAGAGAGAGGGCCCCCTCTCGTTTGAGGGTATGAGTTGGTCTTCTCCCCGCTTTCAGTGAGGGGGACCCAAAGCTTTCTCTTGCCGTCATCGCCTTCTTTGTTGTGGGAGTGCTGGGCAGTCTCCAAGTGTTGTCTCCTTCCTGCTTCACTCCAGCAACCTGACAGCCTTCCCTGGGGGCGCCAAGGAGCTACTACTAAGAGACCTAGACCAGCTCTTCCTCTCCTCTGATTGCCGGCACTTCAACCGCACTGAGTCCCTGAGGTGTGGGATTCATTGCTGGGGCATCCAGCTCCCCCGGCCTCCCAAGGCCTTCTGCAGTCAGCCTGGCTGGCCTGTGTACTAAAGCGCCAGTGCTCCCTGCCCTCTCCTCACTCCTGTGGGTGGGCAAGGAGGGTGGGAATCTTGGCCTGGCATGGAGGTCCTGAGCTCCTCCATTTCCCCAGGCTTGCTGACGAGTTGAGTGGCTGGGTCCAGCGCCACCAGAGAGGCCGGAGGAAGATCCCTCAGAGGGCCCAGGAGAGACAGGTAGGGCGGGTGGCTGGTTCAAGGAAGGCCACTTGAAGACAAGGGCTAAAGGCCTTGTCTGGGGATTTCTAGTGGGCATCTCGCTGTGGAAGTTTGAGGGATCGTTTGAAGGAAGTGGAGGGTTGAGTGGGAGGTGGCATCAGCTTCCAGGGGCTGTTTGTCTCTTTCCCTTTTCCCTTCACCCTCTCCAAGTCCTTAGATACTTCTCCTTCCAGAAGTCTCAGCCACGGAAGAAGTCACCTCCAGTTAAGGCAGTCCCCATCCAACCCCCTGGACCCCCAGAAAGGTGAGTGTGGGGTGGGGTGCTTACTTATTAAGTGAAATTCCACTTTCAAGAGCTGTACCCCCAGTAGCTGTCCTGTGCCTGTCATTACTGTCACCAGTGGGATTATACCTCCCTCCTCCACTGGGGGTCTCCTGTCTTTTTCTCTCATCCTACCCGCTTCCCTGGTAGAAACTGAGCATTGGGCTTAGTTCCCCTCAAATCCTGTTTCCCCACCTGCCTAGGGATTCTGTGGGCCAGCTGCAACTATATCGCCACCCAGACCGTTCGCAGCCAGCATTCTTGGATGCAATTGACCGACGGGAAGACACATTTTATGTTGTCTCTTTCCGAAGGGTGAGTTTCTCCTGCCCTTCCATCTCTGTCACCCCAGGTTCCCAGCAGTCTGTCTTCAGTGGGGGGATGTAGAGTAGGGCTGGGGAGCTTGTTGGCATCTTTGCCTCCACCCTTCTGGCCTGGCCCATCTGTTCCCCAGGACCACCTGCTGCTCCCAGCCATCAGCCACAACAAGACCTCCCGGCCCAAGATGTCCCTGGTGATGCCTGCCATGGCCCCCAATGGTAACTCTTTCCCTGCTGGGTATGGGGGCAGTTCCAACAGGGAGATCCAGCCTGGGAGCTGAGGGGGAAGGGGGAGAGGAGCAGGGCATCCAGAGAGCTGCTGGACCCACAGGTGAGAAGCAGCAGGAAGTAGGTGGAGGGAAGAGCACCATGCAGGAGACTTGGGAGGGAGACAAGGGTGAGGGTCCTTCCCTGGTGAAGGTGCTTGGGTAGATGACTGGGCAGAGGCGGGGGGCCGGGAACCTGCTAGACTCTCACTTACTTTTTTCTCTTGATGTCCTCTCCTGTGTGACCCCACACTCAATGCCCTTTTCTTTTCCTACCCTCTCCTTGCCCCTGCACCAAACTCTGTCCCTGCCATCCTGTTTAACTCCCGCTATGGATCTGCCTCCTCACTATTGCCCTTTCTTTTTCTCTCTGCTCACCTCTACTTTTCTGACCTCCTCCCCTCCTCCCTGCAATCCCTGTTTGCCTCCCCATCTCCTCTTCCTTAACTCTCCCCTTCTCACAGAGACCCTGTCAGGCCGTGGGGCCCCGGGGGACTATGAGGAGATGATGCAGATCGAGTGTGAGGTCATGGACACCAGGGTGATTCACATCAAGACCTCCACAGTGCCCCCCTCGCTCCGAAAACAGCCATCCCCAACCCCAGGCAATGCCACAGGTGGCCCCTTGCCAGTCTCTGCAGCCAGCCAGGCCCACCAGGCCTCCCACCAGCCCCTCTACCTCAATCATCCCTGACCTCTGCCATTCACACTGACTTAGAACGGGGGGAGGGGGTACCAGGTGGCCAGGTGGGACTGTTTCAAATTTCCCTGATCCCCAGGCTTGGGGCAATTGGTAAAGGAAAGAGCAGGTGTGGGGGTTAAGCACTTATTTGAGGTGGGGGTGTTCACCTCTCTTCTCATCCCTTTTCAGAATATAGGGCTCCTCTCATTCCTGTGAACCCCCAGTCCTGGCTTCTTTGTTTGAGGGGATTGTGTGAGGTTCAGTTGTGGGGTGGGTGGTGAGCTGCTGCATATTTTTTATTTTGTTTCTCTAGTGTTATGGCAGTGGAGGTGGGAATTTAGTCCCCAGGTGGAACAAGGGAAGTTTTTTCATTTTGGAGCTAGTTACTGGGAGTAAGGGAGGGTGGGGTGGGGGGGAGTTCAGGTTTATGTGTGTGCATTTCTTTTTTATTATTATTAAATAAACAACTTGGAGGGAGTTGAAGGAATGGTGGCTGCCTTCCTGGCTCGTGATGGGGAGTTTGGGGGAAAGTGGCTTTTCCAGAGCCAGCATCAAAGAATCAAGCACTGAAGACATAGCTGGCTCTGAGGTGGGGTGGGTGCGGGATCACAGACCGCATGTCATCCCCTTGCCCCCACCCCTGCAACTCTGGGGTATATCTGTGTCTAGCAACGATGTCTCATGGCGTGACAGACTAGAGGATACGCATCCCTGGAATGTGAGTCAACAGGAAAGATGGGGCCCCACGCCCTTCAGGGTGAGCAGCCTCTGGGTCTCCTGCTCTCGAGCAGGTTCTCCCCCTCTTCTTGCTGTCCAGGATGAGCAGCTCAAACAAACAACAAGAGCTGGGGCCAGAGGCTCAGAGCCCAGGAAGTGGGGGTCTCGGTGAAGAAGGGGTGATATTTGGAAGGGAAGGGGGATGTGGCAGGATATCCTCTAAGCCCTAAACTGGAGGGGACTGAGACTTGAGAGTCCAGATGAAAGACAAAGACAAGAGTGGGGCAGGCAGAAAAAGCTGTACATTCTTATGTTTTTAATTTTTTTTTTTTTTTTGAGACGGAGTCTTGCTCTCTCACCCAGGCTGGAGTGCAGTGGCGCGATCTTGGCTCACTGCAACCTCCGCCTCTTGGGTTCAAGTGATTCTTCTGCCTCAGCCTCTCAAGTAGCTGGGACTACAGGTGCACGCCACCACACCCGGCTAATTTTTGTATTTTTAATAGAGATAGGGTTTCACCATATTGGCCAGGCTGCCCACTTCGGCCTCCCAAAGTGCTGGGATTACAGGTGTGAGCCACCATGCCTGGCTAGGCTGTGCATTCTAATTAGGAGGAAGGGGAGCAGGACAAAGTGAGGGATTGAGTCTGAGGCCAACCTGGAAGAATCCCCCTCCAGCTGCTCCTGTTCAGCAGTGCCTCAGGCCTGACCCTGCAGGAGTGTCCTGGGTCAGCTGGAGGGTGTGAGCTGGGCCTGGGCTCAATGCCCAGATGACTGGACAGGGGCTGCCTGGGCCATAAGCCCAGGCCTGAAGGAGGGAGGAAGAACCTCATGTGTCCAGCCAGGCAACCCCCACACCCCTCCCACTGCCCTCACCCATTACTGTGTTTGGGGTGAAAACAGACCAAGTAACTATGGCAACCTGGAACCAGGGATCCCAGGAACTAGACCTTTCCTCCCTCCAGAGGGCAGCCCAGCTTCTCAGCTATGCTTTCTATCCCAGAGTCCTTGAGCCTTATCCACCGTATCTCTGGAGGGGGTGCAGTGAGAACAAGGATTTTGGAAGCACATCACCTAAGCTGGATTCCCTACCCTGCCTTTCGTTAGTAGATGTCCTTAAACATTCTGAGCCTTAGTTTGCTTATCTGTAAGATGGGATGTTCCTACCTCCTAATCAGGGTTGATGACAGGATGAAAGACGACGTCCTCAGTGCCTGGTCCATAATAGATACACCTTTTCCTCATCCCTTGCCCCTTTCTGTCCCCATCTCTGTTGTCCTTCTCTCTTCCACTTTTATCCCATTTGGGTTCATTACTGTTTCGTTGTCCCATTGTCTTCCTCCTTCCTGCCCCCAGTTCGGGAAAGTACTTGAAGTGCTGGCATCTCAGGGGTCACCCTGGGGTGGGACATCCTGCTCCTCTGCTGATTGGCAAGGGACAGCTGGCACTTTGGTGTGGATGAGACATCAGACCTCTCTTGGCTGAGGGATTGTGGTGGCAGGAAGGATTGAGAAGGACGGTGAGTGGGTACCTGATGCAGGGTGAAAGCCGGGCAGGCTCTGGGCTGCTGCCTTCTAGGCCCATGTGGATCTCCATTCCTCTGGCCACACCCCCAAGGCCACTCAGCATGCCAGGTCGCTGTCACTCCTGCACCTCATTGGCCCCTCCTGCCCTATGCCCACTTTGTCTTTCTGTTCTGCTTTCCTTGTGCCACCATCTCCTTCATTTCTTCCTCAGGATCCCACCTTTTGTTCTCTCTCATCCCTGACCTCATCATCCCTCCCTTCCTCTTTCTAGACTTCTTTCCTGCCTTTCTTTGCTCTCTACCTCATTAGCAGTTATCACAACCTCTTTTTGAACCATTATTCATCACTGTTTTTTTCTTCTTTTGTATCTTCCCCACCCCATCCACTGCTTCACTGTCTTAAATTTTTTTTTTAATTTAAAAATAGAAGTGGGGTCTCGCTATGTTACCCAGGCTGGTCTTGAACTCCTGGCCTCAAGCAGTCCTCCCATGTTGGCCTCCCAAAGTGCTAGGATTACAGGCATGAGCCACCGTGCTGGCCTTATTTAAAAATATATATATATTTTTAAATTCACTGTCTTTTTCCTTTGTTTTTCTTGGTCTTCTCATCTGCTGCTGCTGCTGACCCTGTGCTTGTCTCCTCCCTTTCTCATGCCGCCCCCTTTCTATTTCCCATTCTGCTCCCTCGTCCACATTTCTTGCCCCTTTCCATTATGTCCTCTCTTTTCCCCCACTTTGGTCCTCTCCTCCTCCTTCCTTCCCCCACTCCCTTTACTTCCCACACCAGTTCTCCATCCTCTTCCCAGCTGTGGGGGCCAGCACTGGGGAGCCTGATGTTTGCCTCATCGTTCTGCTATGGCTTCTGGATACAGCACATCTGGATTCCGGGGCCCAGATGTGTGGTTGCCACAGCGACCTGGGTCCCTCTGGTAAATACAGGCGCCCACCCGCCTCAGAGCAGAGAACAAAACAATTGTGTGACTTTCTTTTGTCACGAGATAGAAATGTCCTTCCTCCTCCCTTCTCCCCACACCCATGTCTCTAGGCAAAGGAAGTTTTAAGGGTCCAAACCCTTCCTTCTGAGGCTCCCTTGCCCCCTTTTCAGCTGTAGCCTCTTAGTTCTCTCCCATCTTTCATCCTGCGCTCTGTCTTTACATTCTGTGTTCCCCATCCTCACCCGACCCCCAGTTCTCAATAATGGAATGTTGACCACCCCCTTCCCCATCTGATGCCATTTCTTCTAAGTGAATCTACACAATAACTGGATGCAGAAAAGTTTCAAAAATCTGGATTCTCCACCCTTCTTTGTACAAGTGCTTCAAAGAAGCCACTTCATTTGTTCCCTAAGTCTTCAATCCTTTCCTTTCCTGGAGTTGTTTGGGGAGAAGAGCGAATACAGGCTTAGGAATGAGAACACCTGGGTGAGACCCACCTTCACCACTACTGACTTAGCCCCTTGAACAAGACCCTTAATGTCTATGAGCCTCCGTTTCCTCAGCCACAAAGTGGGATTAATGCCCGCACTGTGTAGGAAACTGTTTTGTAAACGGAAGCCCGGCACAAGTGTTTTCTATCTTTCCCCTCTCTGGGACTGCTTTCTTGGACCGCAGCCCCTGGCATCTCTTGTTCCCCTGTCTTCATCCTTCAGGTCCTTGCCCTCAATTGCCCTTACTCTTATGTGTCTGCCTTCTCTCCTCCCTATCTTTCCTTTCCTTTTCTCTATCTTTCATCCCTTTTCCTCCTGAGGTCAGGACAGGAACTTGGAGGATCATTCAAGGAGGGAGGCTCAGAGCTGAAGACACAGGGACTGAGGTTACAGAGAACAGCCGGAGCTTGTGGACAGTTCTGGACAACACTGACCTTTCTACCCACCACCACCCAGACACCTCAGTGAAGCCAACCCCAGCTCTGACCACTGGGCTTCCCTGCCTTCACGCCTGGGCTCCTTACCCTTTCCCCCTCCTCTCTCCCAGTCCTTTCACATTTCAGTGTTGACTTGCATTTATTGGTCACCTACACTGTGCAAGGCTTGGTGCTTTTCTTACAAGATGTGAACATACAAGACATGAGCTTCTCCATGAGCCTGGAAACCAAAGGGTGAATCAAATGGTAAACAAAGATAATTTCAGAACCTGAAACTATATCTGCTAAGCTTCCAGTGGCTTCCCCAAATGCCTTATAAGCTTGTGTACATCTGGAATCCCACATTTCTCTCTGAGACCCCAACAGTGGGCTTCCAGAACATCCCAGGACCATCCTTCTTGCTGTCTTCTCTGAGGTCCCTGGCCACTCTCTGTGCCAAATGTACTTATGTTGACCATTCTTCCTAAATAATAAAGCCAGGACATAGGGCATAGGCACACGCGCGTGCACACACACACTAAAGGATATGACCATGGAACAGAAATCTGAAGGTGTCAGAGGAAATTCATACCCTGTGTTCTGCCCTCTGTGTGATACTGTCTCCAGACCCTCCCTCTTCCTATCACTGCAGGGCTCCCCACCTCCTGCCAGGAGATCCTTGGGAAGCTGCTACCTACTGCTGGCTCTGGGGGCTTCAGGCCAAGGCAGAGGAAGGAAGCTGAGCCTGGCTCTGTCCAAGATGCTGACTTCATCCTCCCCATCAAAGCCAGGAAAAAAACAGCCACACACACCCAGACACACGGACACACACGGGGACACCCACGCAAAAGCCCATGTGTGCCTTTGCCCTCGGCCACATGGAGCTTACTGGGCATCTGGCCACAGCCACATGCAGTGCAGGCACGCCCTGACCCAGGAACACCACACACCTGCCACCATGGGGATCTGACCTGGTGTGCAGACACCTGGGCCGTCACCCATGTGGCAGAATCAAGCACATATGGGCTCCCTCACGTACCTTTCACCCGTGACTTGGCCAAGTTACACCTCAGTGGTGAGGTCTGTAGCAGGATAGAGAGACCCAGTCCTCACTGTGAAGCTGGGGGTAGTGGGTTCCCACTCAGCTGGGATATTTCTCCTCTGTAGCAAAGTCTCTTTTTCAGCTCCTTGTCAGGGCAGCACATGGGGAGATGAAGCTAGGGAAACACCCAACAGACTTATGTGGGGTGTGTCTGTCTCCCTGTCCCCCCTGTCCTCTGGCTGTCAGTCTTCTGCCTGGGACCAGAGACAGCGTGTCCGTTTCCTCCAGCCCCTACCTCTCCCCGCCTCTGTTCCTGCTCCCCCGCAGCACCCAGGCACCAGCCCCCCACCCTGCTTTCCACCACTTCACCCTCTATTCAGGTGACCCACCCTTATATTTGCCTCCTGTCTCTAGCCCTTTCTTCAACCCTAAACCTTCCTCCTAACCTTCAGGCTTTCCTTCCTTGTCCGCCCCAACCCCAGCTTCCTCCCCAAGGCTTGTATGTCCCAGTGTTCACCCAAGCCCTTGCCCTGCCAGTGCCCAAGCCTCACCTGCTCTTTCTCTAGGGACTTGCTGAGGTAGGAGAATGCAAAGGGGGCAGTGACAGGAGAGGGACTGAACAGAACAGACAGCAGGAGTGGCTCGGGGACGGGATAAGCCGAGAAGATAGAAATGGTGGGACTGGAGCAGGGTGGGGACTTGGGGTCCCAGAGACGGTCCCAGTTGGAGAAAGAGGTTGCCTCTTGCCTCCTGCCCTCTGCCCCTGCTCCCTGCCCCAGACTGCCAGGGGAGAACTGGTGAGAGGATGAGGGAGCCAGCACTGGGTGATAGACATGGGGTGCGATCCAGAGATCCAAGCTAGAGCAGTGGCTGGGAAGAGATGGGAGAGGAGCATGGGGGAGGGAGGGGAAGGGGGCTGGCCATGAGGAAGGATATAGGCTGAGAGGAAACCACTGGGGTCAGAGAGGAGGGGCAGCAGGTGGAGAAATGGTGGGGAAAAAAGAAATGGCAGGAAGGGTGGGGGGTGTCAAGTTGGGCAAAAATTAGGGTGAGCTAAAAATGGCATAGGGAAAGGACGTGGGAGGTAAGACCGGGGCTGGGGGTTGAGATGAGGGTATGGTGAGACAGTGATGCTAGACAGGGAGTGGGGGCTGGGGTGGGGGCAGGAGAAGAGGAGGGGTGGCATGTGGGAGGGCCTGGGAGGGGTGGGAGGACCTGCCCTATCTCCGCTCCCCTCCCTGACCTCATCCTGGTCCTCCCCTTCTCCTCCCCTGCTCGCTGCAGACTCCCTCCTCACTGTCGCTGCCGAGATCCACAGTCGGTTGTGGCTCAGCCCCTGTTGCAGGGGACAAGTGAGGGAGACTTCCCTGTCCTGCCCTGAGACGCCGCCCTCCCGGGGTTGGGGACAGAGCAGGTGCAGAGGCACTGCAGCTGCTCGGTTGCCCAGGTAAGGAACAGAGTTCTGGGGAGACCCAGAAGGAGAGGCAAGGGATTTCTCGCCTATCCCCATGCCCCAGGTGAAGGTGTGGCAGGTGAGCTCTCAGCAGTGCTTCCAGAGCAAGGACTTCTGTTCAGGACAGAGGACATAGGAGCATTCGCTGGGAACCAGGCTCCCTGTGAAGGAGTGTCTGGGAGGAGAGGGTGGTATGTGTGTGTTGGGGTGGGCAGTATGTGTCAGGGTTTGGATGGGATGCAGACAACTGAGAGGGGCTGGGAACAAACCGAGGGACTCCGGGAGTCAGATGGTGGAACCAGGGTAGAGGTGGTTATTGGTGAGGTGAGCCCCTGGGCCCTGGAGGTGCTGGGGCTAGCGGGAAGATAGGACTAGGCTGAACTGGTGGCCAGCTGAACCTTGGAAGGAAAGTGCTTGCGGAATCCCAAATGTCGGGCTAGAGCAGCTGAGCCTAGGCTCTGGGGGCTCCAGGCTCCAGGAGGTGCCAGAGGGTGCTTCTTTGGGCATCCAAATGGGGACTCCCTAGGTGGCAGCGTGAGAGTTGCAGGGAGGGAGGTCTGGGAGATCTCTTTAGGAAATACTGAAATGGGACAGTCAGGACTCGGGTCTGGGACGTGCACAGAGCCTGCAGAGAGGATCCTAAAACTTGTTCTTGGCCAGAGCTCTGCACTCATGACTCACGGTTCAGCAGGGCTGGGATGGCTGAGAGATGCCTCTGGGGGCACAGGGGCTCCGTCTTCACTCTGTGCCCCTTCCAGGCTCCCCTTGCCTCTGTCTGTCTGAACCCGCACTCTCCCTCACCTCGCCGCCCCCGCCCCCCACCACCAGTACACGTGACACGCCCCGGGTGGGAAGGGCGGGCCCCTTATCTCGCCTGGAAAGAATTTAATGGCATAGAAACAACTGGAAGTGGAACTGAGAGGAACTACTGGGAAGCAACTCGGAAACACCACAGCTGCTGCCTGCCCTGCCCCTGCTTCCCGCATCTCCAGCCCCTCCTCTTTTCCCTGACCCTGCCTTCAAGTCCCTGGGGACCCAGCACCTCAATTCCTCAAACTTCCTTTGCTCACTCCAGACCTAGCCACTAGGTGCAGGACCAGAAACTGCCTTCCTGTCTCTCATTGCACCCCTAACCATTTTCAGCTGGGGCCTGGAAATCCTTTCTCTTAATTTTTCCATTCCCAGGCCGATTAGCTCCCCAGAATAAGGGGTATCTGGATTCCCCAACCTACCCCTCCCTGACACCTCCTTCCTACCTGGTTCCAGCCCAATATCTGAGACCCCCACATTCCCTTTTTAGTCTCACTCCTAGAATCCTTCTACCTTCACCTCTCATTGCCAGATTCAACTGAGGGTGTAGCAGGAGGGTCAGAGGGAGGCATGGGGGCGGGACCAGAACCCCCATCTGTGGAACATCTTTTATGGAAGCCAGCCCCTCTCCCCACCCCTTGGGACCTATACAGTCCCTAATGAGCAAAGTGTCAAAGTTGGCTACAACACAAAATACCCAGGAAGCTGAGTCACAGTTTGGGAAGATGCCCCCATCCCTGCCAGCCCTCCAACTGTGGGGAGGGTGCCAAGAGGGTGAGGCCATATCTCTCTCCAAACACACACTACAGAGAACCACCCCAGACATAGTGGCAGGGGGAATGGTGAAGGGGAGACACAAGAGACACCCAATTCTTTGCTTGCCCAGTACCGAGAGAAGAGCAGAATTATCCCAGGAGCTGGAATGGGGAGCTGGAGGGCTGGGTGGTGGCAACAGGGCAGGGAGGGAGATTGGGAAGGAGCCTCTGGGTGTGTGGTCAATGGAGGCTGCTCTGCTCTTCTAGACCAATCTCACCAGCTTTCCAGAAAAGCTGGTGAGCTCTCTTCACTCCTTCCTGGTGCAAAGACCCTCTCTGCTTTCCCCCACTGTGCAGGGAAAGATGAGGAATCCACTTATTTGGGGAGGGGCACTGGACAACTCACAGAGGCCTCCAGGGGTACGGGGAAGTATGGTGGAGGCCATGTGTCCGCTGCTTCCCACTGGGAAGGGCCTCCTGCTTTGTTCCTCTCACACCATCCAGGTTCTTTCACTCACAGAGCTGCCCTCGGAGCCAACAAGAAATCAGCCTTCTTAGGCATCACCCAATGACTAGGTGTGGAGGAAACCTGAAGGGGAGATTGGGTGTGTGTGCACGTGTGTGCATGGGCACCCATATGTGTACCTACAAGGATGCAGGTTTTGGGGGTGGATTTGTGTGTCTGTGCAGGTATGTTTGTACTTGTGGATGAGCACACATTAATATATTTGTAAGTGTACATGTGTACACATCTTTGTGCAAGCATTCCCAGGGTGTGGGAGTGATTAGCATGGCCTTAGACACAAAGTGACAGGATTTGAGGGTCGGTCAGAGCCCATCTCTTACCCAAGGCTACACTCCAGGCTGAGAGAAGGGCTGGGGAGACAGGAAAGGGCAGCTCTCTGTATGCCAGGCCTCTCGGCCTGGGCTTTCTTGGGTGGGGAGCCTCTTGGTGTGGAAACACTCTGTCCCTGTTCAGCTCCCTTTCCGTCTCTTGCTGGCTGGTAGCAGAATGTGATGGCTGGTAGCCCCAATTACTCCTTTTTCTCTGATCCAGGAGAAAAGTTTAAGAGTAGAAAGCCAGAAGATGTGTGCGTGTTGGGTGGAGGTGTGTGTGTGTCACAGTCACCTCCGCCTACCAGTGACACATCCCCCACTCCTCACCGGTCAGCATTTCCACACCCACCCTGCCCTCCTCCTTTCCCCAGCCTCTGGTCTGGAAGAGCTGGGCACCTTTCAACATCTCTCCTCAACTCTTCACCCTAGCTGAATCCTGACTGGCCCCCTCACACTCAGGTTTGCCATAGCCCTGTCTCCTGTCTTATCCTGGGACCCCCCTACCACCTTTCCTCCCACCTCTTGTCTCTGTGTGCTCCCCAATCCCTGCCTCAGTAAACTCCACAAACACATACAACTGGGTAACCGTCATCCAGATCAAGAAACAAGACACCTTTAGCACCCCAGAAGCCCCCCCCCCCATGCCCCTACTAGTCACTACCCCCTCAAGAGTATCACACTTCTGACTTGGAGCACTACAGATTAATGTTGCCTCTCCTCAAACTTCACATAAATAGAACTGTGCAGCATGCTCTTTCCTGTGTCTGGCTTTTGTTCAACATCATCTTAGTAAGATCCATCACACTACTGCATATAACTATAGTTCATTCCTGCTTTATTTTATTCCACGGTGTGAATAAACCACAATTTATTTATTCTACTGATGTGAAATGTTTGAGTAGTTCCCAGTTTGGGGCTATTATGAGCTATGTTGGGTATATTCCTAGGAGTGGAATTGCGGGGTCATAGGGTTTGCATGTGTTCACCTTTAGTACATTTAGTAGATTCTGTCAAACAGTTTTCCAAAGTGCTTGTACCATCTGGTCCTGCCAGGATCTTCCCTGGCCTGGCCTCTGATTCTGCCTCAGCCCTGGTGGCTGTGTCTAACCAACTTCCAGTCCCAGACACTGTCCGTGGTCCTAGCCCTGACCTTGGTCCTGCCCTTGGTTCCAGCCTTAATGCTAGTCCTGCGTTTACATTGAACTTTTCATTCATTCATATAGTCGGTAAATATTTATTGAGCACCAGTTATGTGCCAGATGCAGGGATACAGCAGCCAAGAAAAAAAAATAGGTGCCATGCCTGCCCTCATGGACTTTATAGTCTAGTGGGCAAGAAAGTAATAAAATAATCTCACAGTATATTTATTATTACTTTGGACTTCAAAAAAATATTTGTTTATATATGATTGCAAATTGTTATAAACGCTACACATGAGAATGGCATGATGCTGTGATATCACATGATAGGAGGACCTGACCTGGTCAGGAAAACTTCCCTGTGAAAAAAATGGCGGGCTGAGACCTGAAGGATGAGAAGGCCAAGAGAGAAGGGAACAGTGTTCCACACGGATGGAACAGAGTATACAAAGATCTGGGGTTGGGGATGGGCACAGAGAGTATGAGGGACTTGAAGGTCAGTGGAGCTGGAATGGAGGGAGGGAGGGAAATGTTATGGGTGGTGAAGTGGGAGCAGGGGATACATGATGGTAGGGCTGTTTGTCAGTGTTCTAAGAGAATTTGGAAGGGAGACACTGAAGCATTTTGAGGATAGGGACATCCTGATTGCGTTTGTGAGACTGTAGAGGGCAAGAGTGGAAGCAGAGGGAAGGGTCAGGGCTGGACACAGTGGCTCACGCCTGTAATCCCAGCACATTGGGAGGCTAGGGTGGGAGGATTGCTTGAGTCCAAGAGTTCAAGGCCAGCCCGAGCAACATAGAAAGATCCTGTCTTTGCAAAAAAAATTAAAAATTAGCTGAGCGTGATGGCACACACCTGTAGTCCCAACTACTCAGGAGGCTGAGGTGGGAGGATTGCTTGAGCAACAGGAGGTCAATGCTGCAGCGAGCTATGATCGCACCACTGCACACCAGCCTAGGTGACAGAGTGAGACCCTGTCTCAAAAAAAAAGAAAAAAAAAGCAGCCAGGAGGCAATTGCAGTTGTCAGGCAAGAGGCGGATGGAAGCTTGGATTAGAATGAAGGTAAGTGGGAGAGAAGGAAATGAATTAAAGAGATGTTTATGAGAAAATACAGGTAGATACAAGGAAATATGGTAGCCTTGAATGGGCTATTAGGTTTCTGGCTTGTAAAGCTGGATGAATGGTGGGGTCCTGAGCTTCAATGGGGAATTCTGGGAGGGGATGGGATACAGGAAGGTGACCGTGAGTTCAGGTTACAGGCATGGTGAATTTGAGGTGCCCAAGTGGAGATGCCAAGTAGGCAGGTGGATATATTGCTGTGGAGCGAGAGGAAGATGACTGGGGTGTTTTACAAATTGGTGTATAGTTTGGAAATTGAAGTTATAAGTCTGGATGAAGGTACCAGGTGGATGACTAGAGCAGTAGGTCTATTAATTTAGTAGAAATTTGTTGCACATTACAATCATCTGGGGAGCTTTTAAAAATACTGAGTAAAATTCACTTACTTGGTCGTTCTAGTCACATCTCAAGTGTTGCAGAGCCTCATATCCCTCCTGGCTACCATATTGGTCAGCGTGGATACAGAATGTTTTAAAAGAGAAGGGCCAGGTGTGGTGGCTCATGCCTGTAACCCCAGCACTTTGGGAGGCCGAGGTGGGCAGATCACCTGAGCTGAGGAGCTCAAGACCAGCCTGGTCAAGATGGTGAAACCTCGTCTCTACTAAAAATAAAAAATTAGCTAGGTGTGGTAGCGGGTGCCTGTAGTCCCAGCTGCTCGGGAGGCTGAGGCAGGAGAATCACTTGAACCCCAGGAGGCAGAGGTTGCATTGAGCCAAGATCGTGCCACTGCACTCCAGCCTGGGCGACAGAGTGAGACTCCATCTCAAAAAAAAAAAAAAAAAAAAAGATGCGGTGAACTGTGTCTAGTGATTTTGAGAGAAGTCAAAGGTCAAGCAAGATGAAGACAAATGTCCCTTAGATTTTGTGGCACCGAAGTCATTGGGAAGCCCTAGAGGGAGCTGTTTGGTGGGTTGGAGGGAGTAGAGTGGATTGAGGCATGCATAGGCTATAAGGAAATGTAAACATCAAATACAAATAAATTTTGACAACTGTGGCCATGAAGTAGAGGAGAGAAATATGTGGTGGCTGGAGGGGGTGTGAGATTGGGGATAGGTTTTTTAAGGTTTCATTTTTTTTTTTTTTTTGAGATGGAGTCTCGCTCTGTTGCCCAGGCTGGAGTGCAGTGGCACAATCTCAACTCACTGCAACCTTTGCCTCCCAGGTTCAAGCGATTCTCCCGCCTCAGCCTCCCAAGTAGCTGGGATTACAGGCACCTGCCACCATGCCCAGCTAATTTTTTTTTATTTTTTATTTTTAGTAGAGACGGGGTTTCACCATGATCGTCAGGCTGGTTTTGAACTCCTGACCTCAAGTGATCCGCCTACCTTGGCCTCCCAAAGTACTGAGATTACAGGCATGAGCCACCACACCCAGCCATGGTTCAATTTTTATACAGCAAAATGCCAAAGTCTTAAGTGTGCAGCTCAATGAGTTTTTGAATATGTATATATCTATGTAACCACCCAGATTAAGATACAAAATATTTCCAGAAATATGACTCCTTCCGGTCAATAATCCCTACAAGTAATCTGATCCTATCTTCTAAAAGCAAAGATTAACTCTGCCTGTTTTTGTTTGTTTTTTTGTTTGTTTTTTGACATAGAGTCTTGATCTGTTGCCAGGCTGGAGTGCAGTGGCATTATCTTGGTTCACTGCAACCTCCGCCTCTGGGATTCAAGCAATTCTTTTGCCTTAGCCTCCCAGGTAGCTGGGACTACAGGTGTGTGCCACCATGCCCAGCTAATTTTTGTATTTTTAGTAGAGACAGGGTTTCACCGTGTTGGCCAGGATGGTCTCCATCTCTTGACCTCGTGATCCGCCCGCCTCGGCTTCCCAAAGTGCCGGGATTACAGGCATGAGCCACTGCACCCAGCCTCTGCCTGTTTTTGAACCTCATATAAACGGCATTATTCAGAGTGTTTTCTTTTTTCTTTTTTTGGTAGCTCAGGAAGGGTATATAAGAGTATAAGAGCATTCTCTTTCTGTGTGTGATATTTTTTACTCAGCACTATGTGTGTGAAATTCACCCATGTTGCATGTAGCAATAGGGTGTTTTTTATTGCTGTATAGTATTCCATTGTATGACTCTGGCACAATTTATTTATCCACTTTATGAATGGACACTTGAGTTGCTTTCAGTTTTAGCTAATATAGGAATAAATCTCATGAACATTATGGTCTACGTCTTTTGGAAGAACTATGCAGTCATTTCCACTGGATATTTAGTTATAGATATCTGGGTTATAGACTATATGTTTTAGCAGATACTACCAAACAACTTTCCAGTGTTTGCATTAATATATGCTCCCACTTGCAACAGATGACAATTCCAGCTGCTTCACATTCTTGCCAATATCAAGCAATGACAGCCTCTTTGAAGAGGGACAAGCATTCTGGAGGATATTTAGTGGCATCTTATTGTGGTTTTAACGTACATTTACCCGATAACTAGTGATTTTGTGCATCTTTTAAAATGCTGCTTGGATCTGGGTGCAGTGGCTCACACCTGTAAGCCCAACTACTGTGGAGGGTGAGGCAGGAGGATTGCTTGAGGCCAGGAGTTCAAGGCCAGCCTGGGCAACACAGCAAGATCCCATCTCTACAAAAAATTTAAAAATTAGCCAGGCATGGTGATGCCCATCTGTAGTTCCAGCTACTCTGGAGGCTGAGGCAGGAGGATCACTTGAGCCCAGGAGTTTGAGGCTGCAGTGAGCTGTGATTGTGCCACTGTGCTTCAGCCTGGGTGACAGAGGTAGAGTTTATCTTAAAATAAAATGAAATAGGGTGGGTGTGGTGGCCCATGCCTGTAATCCTAATAACTTTGGGAGGCCAAGGCAGATCACTTGAGGTCAGGAGTTTGAGACCAGCCTGGCCAACTTGGTGAAACCCTGTCTCTACTAAAAAAAAAAAAAAAAAAAAGGCTGGGTGCGGTGGCTCACGCCTGTAATCCCAGCACTGTGGGAGGCCAAGGTGGGCGGATCACGAGGTCAGGAGATCGAGACCATCCTGGCTAACACGGTGAAACCTCATCTCTACTAAAAATACAAAAAAATGAGCCAAGTATGGTGGTGGGCGCCTGTAGTCCCAGCTACTCAGGAGGCTGAGGCAGGAGAATGGCATGAACCTGGTAGGCAGAGCTTGCAGTGAGCCAAGACGCACCACTGCACTCCAGCCTGGGCGAAAGAGCAAGACTCCATCTCTACAAAAAAAATGAGCTGGGCATGTGGCGCATGCCTGTATCCTAGCTACTCCAGAGGCTGAGGTAGGAGAATCACTTGAGCCCAGGTAAAATAAATAAAATGTTTATTGGCTCTTTGGCTATATTCTTTTCTGGAGTACCTGTTTGTCTTTTGACAATTTAAAAAACTAGGTTTCCTGATTTTGGCTTATTTTGTTTTGCAGAGATTTTTTTTTTTTTTTTTTTTTTTTTTTGAGATGGAGTTTCACTCTTCCTCTCAGGCTGAAGTGAAGTGGCATGATCTCAGCTCACTGCAACCTCCGCCTCCAGTTTCAAGCGATTCTCCTCCTCAGCCTCCCGAGTAGCTGGGACTACAGGTGCCCGCTACCACGCCCAGCTAATTTTTGTATTTTTAGTAGAGATGGGGTTTCACCATGTTGGCCAGGCTGGTCTTGAACTCTTGACCTCATGATCCGCCCACTTCAGCCTCCCAAAGTGCTGGGATTTCAGGTGTGAACCACCACACCCAGCTGCCTTCTTATTCTCTTAATGATGTAATTTGATGACCTGAAATTTTGTTTTGTTTTTTTCTTTTTCTTTTTTTTGAAACAGAGTATCAGCTCTGTTGCCCAGGCTGGAGTGCAGTGGCATGATCACAGCTCACCACAGCCTCGACCTCCCAGACTCAAGTAATCCTCCCACCTCAGCCCCTGAGTAGCTGGGACTACAGGTGTACCACCACGCCCAGTGAATTCTTTTTGTTTTTTGTAGAGACAGAGTCTCACTATCTTACCCAGGCTGGTCTCCAACTCCTGGGCTCATGCAATCCTCACACTTAAGCCTCCTGAAGTGCTGGGATTACAGATACGAGCCACTGCACCCGGCCTATGGTTAGGTTTTGTGTGTGTTTTACTTAAGAAATCTTGCGGCTGGGTGCAGTGACTCAAGCCTGTAATCCTAGCACTTTGGGAAGCCGAGGCGGGCGGATTGCCTGAGTTCAGGAGTTTGAGACCAGCCTGGCCAACATAGTGAAGCCCCGTCTCTACTAAAAATACAAAAAATAGCTGGGTGTGGGAGCAGATGCCTGTAATCCCCGCTACTCAGGAGGCTGAGGTAGGAGAATCACTTGAACCTGGGAGACGGAGGTTGCAGTGAGCCGAGATAGCACCAGTGTACTCCACTCTGGGCGACAGAGCAAGACTCAGTCTTAAAAAAAAAAAAAAAGAAATCTTGCTTACTCCAAGGTCAGAAATTTTCTGTAAGATATTGCTATGAAAGATATTGCTTTACTTTTCTTATTTAGGTCCTGGGTTCATCTCAAATTAATTTCGGTATATCAGACATAAGGTGGAGAATGACTGTTTTTTTTTTTTTTTTTTTTTTTTACTTAGGGATGTTGGATTGACCCAGCACCAGGAACTAAAAAGACCATCCTTTCTCCTCTTAACTGCAGGGGCACTTTTGTCGTTAATTAGTTGACCACATATGTGTGGGCCTGTTTCTGGGCCCTATTCTGTTTCATCTGTCTATCCTTGCACCTTTAAAATAAGTCTTGATATTTGATCATGTAAGTCCTGAGGAAGAGGATTTTTGTTTTTTTTTTTTCAATTGGAGATATTTGAGCAAGGATCCAGTTGAGAGTGAGGAGTTGAATAAAAAAGAGAGAGAAGCCAAGCATGGTGGCTCATGCTTTTAATCCCAGCTACCTGGGAGGCTGAGGTGGGAGGATGGCTTGAGCCCAGGAGTTCAAGTCCAGCTTCAACCAGGGGGTTGAGCAAGATCCTGTCTCTATATTAGAAAGAGGTCGTGCGGTGACTCATGCCTGTAATCCCAGCACTTTGGGAGGCCAAGGCGGGCACATCACTTGTGGTCAGGAGTTCGAGACCAGCCTGCCTACATGGTGAAACCTCATTTCTACTAAAAATACAAAAATTAGCTGGGCATGGAGGTGGGCACCTATAATCCCAGCTACTCAGGAGGCCGAGGCAGGAAAATCACTTGAGCTAGGAGACAGAGGTTGCAGTGAGCCGAGATCGCACCACTGCACTCCAGCCTGGGCGACAGAGTAAGATTCCATCTCAAAAAAAAAAAAAAGTGAGAGAGAGAGGGAGAAGATAATCTGCACTTTTCTTAGAAGACAGTAGGAGCTGGGATCCAGGTGTTTGGGGAAGGATTGGCCCTAGGTACTCATCCACTAATTCATTCAACATTGATGTGTCAGATAGAACATTTATGTGCCAGACACAAGTATACAGCAGTCCTGGGATAGATGAGGTCCTTGTTCTCATGGAGCTCCCATTGTAGCATTGAGAGAAAGGTAATAAGTAAACTGATAACTCAGGCAGCAGTAAATGCCATGAAGAACAGGAACAGGATATTGTGATAGAGAGTAATGGAAGACTGCCCTAACTGGGAGTTAAGATTTGAAGATGGAGCCAGCCTTTATGAGCAGAGTGAAGAGCATCCCAGACATAGGGAACACACAATGCAAAGGCCCTTGGAGTAGTGAGAGCTTGTAGTGCTCGTGGGAAAAACAAAAGACCAGTGTAGAGCCGGGTGCGGTGGCTCATGCCTGTAATCCCAGCACTTTGGGAGGCTGAGGCGAGCAGATCACCTGAGGTTAGGAGTCTGAGACCAGCCTGACCGACATGGAGAAACCCGGTCTCTACTAAAAGTACAAAATTAGCCAGGCATGGTGGGGCATGCCTGTAATCCCAGCTACTCAGGAGGCTGAGGCAGGAGAATCGCTTGGACCTGGGAGGCGGAGGTTGTGGTGAGCTGAGATCGCACCACTGCACTCCAGCCTGGGCAATAAGAGTGAAACTCCGTCTCAAACAAACAAACAAAACAAAACAAAACAAAACAAAACAAAAAAACCAGTGTAGGGGAACACAATAGAAAAGGGGGTGAGGAGCAGGGTAAATAAATGGTATCAGAGAGGTAGAGAACAGACTTGCCCAGGGAGGGTATCCTTTAGGGTTGGGCGGAATGTGAATTTTTACATGCATGTGAGTTGGGTAGATTACTTGTGGGTGGTGGGACCGTGGGTATGTGCTGGAGAAGGGGGGATTCATTTTGTCTCCTTTTTGAAGCTGCTCTCATACCTACCCTTTCTCCCTGCAGCCTCCTGAATGATGCCAGCCCAGTATGCTCTAACCTCCAGCCTGGTTCTCCTGGTGCTGCTGAGCACAGCCAGAGCAGGCCCCTTCTCTTCACGGTCCAATGTGACACTGCCAGCCCCCCGGCCCCCTCCCCAGCCAGGGGGCCACACAGTGGGGGCTGGAGTGGGAAGCCCCTCTTCTCAGCTTTACGAGCACACAGTGGAAGGAGGGGAGAAGCAGGTGGTATTCACCCACCGCATTAACCTGCCCCCTTCCACTGGCTGTGGCTGTCCCCCAGGCACCGAGCCCCCAGTCCTTGCTTCAGAGGTACAGGCCCTGAGGGTCCGTCTAGAGATCCTGGAGGAGTTGGTGAAGGGGCTCAAGGAACAGTGCACTGGGGGATGTTGTCCTGCCTCTGCCCAAGCTGGCACAGGTGAGCAGGTGATCACAGAAGAGGGTGGAGAGGTGGGGTGGGGTGGGCATTGCTAGTCCATAAAGGTCCTTGGTATGAATTAGAAGAAGGCACTCCTTCCTCACCATGAGGGGTGTGGATGCAGCCCAGAACACAACTTGGAGAGCAGAGCTGGGCTACATGTCAACCAAAGCATATGCGAGGGCCCTGAGAGGCTGCATACATTACACATACTAGCAACTGGGAGCAGACATGGCCTTATGAGATGAGGCTAGCCTGGCTAGGGGCCTGCACATAGGAGCACTACATAGGCTCAGCCTCTCTCCCAGGAGAGAGACTGAGACTTGCCTCTCCCCTCCTACTCCAGGTCAGACAGATGTGCGGACCCTCTGCAGTCTCCATGGTGTGTTTGATCTGAGCCGCTGCACCTGTTCCTGTGAGCCAGGCTGGGGTGGGCCCACCTGCTCAGACCCCACAGATGCTGAGATCCCTCCCTCTTCCCCACCCTCAGCCTCGGGGTCCTGCCCAGATGACTGCAATGATCAGGGTCGCTGTGTCCGTGGTCGTTGCGTGTGCTTTCCCGGCTACACTGGCCCCAGCTGTGGCTGGCCATCCTGTCCCGGGGACTGCCAAGGCCGTGGGCGCTGCGTGCAGGGCGTGTGTGTGTGCCGGGCAGGCTTCTCAGGCCCCGACTGCAGCCAGCGCTCCTGCCCTCGAGGTTGCAGCCAGAGGGGACGCTGTGAGGGTGGGCGCTGCGTGTGTGACCCAGGCTACACTGGTGACGACTGTGGCATGAGGAGCTGCCCTCGCGGTTGCAGTCAGAGGGGGCGCTGTGAGAATGGGCGCTGCGTGTGTAACCCCGGCTACACTGGCGAGGACTGTGGGGTGAGGAGCTGCCCTCGGGGCTGCAGCCAGCGGGGACGCTGCAAGGACGGGCGCTGCGTGTGTGACCCCGGCTACACTGGCGAGGACTGTGGTACGCGGAGCTGCCCCTGGGACTGTGGCGAGGGCGGGCGCTGCGTGGACGGCCGCTGCGTGTGCTGGCCCGGGTACACAGGCGAGGACTGCAGCACGCGGACATGTCCGAGGGACTGCCGGGGCCGCGGGCGCTGCGAGGACGGCGAATGCATTTGCGACACGGGCTACAGCGGGGACGACTGCGGCGTGCGCAGCTGCCCTGGCGACTGCAACCAAAGGGGCCGCTGCGAGGACGGCCGCTGCGTGTGCTGGCCGGGGTACACTGGAACCGATTGCGGCTCGCGCGCCTGCCCACGCGACTGTAGAGGTCGCGGGCGCTGCGAGAACGGCGTGTGTGTTTGCAATGCGGGCTACAGCGGCGAGGACTGCGGTGTGCGCAGCTGTCCTGGGGACTGTCGTGGCCGGGGCCGCTGTGAGAGTGGCCGCTGCATGTGTTGGCCGGGGTACACAGGCCGGGACTGCGGCACGCGCGCCTGTCCTGGCGACTGTCGCGGGCGCGGGCGCTGCGTGGATGGCCGCTGCGTGTGCAACCCGGGCTTCACCGGTGAGGACTGTGGGAGCCGTCGCTGTCCCGGGGACTGCCGTGGGCACGGCCTTTGCGAGGATGGCGTGTGCGTGTGTGACGCAGGCTACTCAGGGGAAGACTGCAGCACGCGCAGCTGCCCCGGGGGCTGCCGAGGCCGCGGCCAGTGCCTAGATGGGCGGTGTGTGTGCGAGGACGGCTACTCTGGCGAGGATTGCGGTGTGAGGCAGTGCCCGAATGACTGCAGCCAGCACGGCGTGTGCCAGGACGGTGTGTGCATCTGTTGGGAAGGCTACGTGAGTGAGGACTGCAGCATCCGCACCTGCCCCTCCAACTGCCACGGGAGGGGCCGCTGTGAGGAAGGGCGCTGCCTGTGCGACCCAGGCTACACCGGCCCTACCTGTGCCACCCGCATGTGCCCGGCTGACTGCCGGGGACGTGGGCGGTGTGTGCAAGGAGTGTGCCTGTGCCACGTGGGCTATGGCGGTGAGGACTGCGGGCAGGAAGAGCCTCCAGCCAGCGCCTGCCCTGGAGGCTGCGGGCCCCGGGAACTGTGCCGGGCAGGCCAGTGTGTGTGTGTAGAGGGCTTCCGAGGCCCTGACTGTGCCATCCAGACATGCCCAGGGGACTGCCGTGGCCGAGGAGAGTGTCACGATGGCAGCTGTGTCTGCAAAGATGGGTATGCTGGCGAAGACTGCGGAGAAGGTGAGCAGGCAGCCTTCCCCAGTGTACTCTGGGACTGTGATTCTGTGAACAGGAGCCATGGGGAAGACCTGAGCCTGAGGAAGAGTGGAGGGAGAGCATGTCATTCCAAGGAGCCAGTGCCCACCAGGGGCAGCAGAACCACAGGGGTGGGGCTTTCCAGTGGGCAGGACTGGCCTTCAGATCTCTGAGGAGCAGGTTGGGGCCCATTTAGTTGCATTTAGGGAGATTCTGTGCTCCTGAAGATGGAGAGAAGGTGAAGGCGATCCAAGCCCCGTTCAGCCCTCTGTCAGCTATTCTCCACTAGCAGAGAGGAGTGGGAGTTAGGATGGGCCTCTTCGATGTCCCTGAGTAAAAGGGGCTGTGGGTGGGGGTGGTTGCCTTGTGCTAACCAGCTTTCCCTAACCCATTCTCTTGGGCAGAGGTGCCAACCATTGAGGGCATGAGGATGCATCTCTTGGAGGAGACAACAGTTCGGACAGAGTGGACCCCGGCTCCTGGCCCCGTGGATGCCTATGAAATTCAGTTCATCCCCACGGTGAGAGAGATGCCAGGCTCCAGGAGGGGACTGAGTGGGCAGGACAGGGGGGCAGGGCTCACCTCCTGGAGGAAGTTCCAGGTGATCATTGGTTGAGTCCAGATGGCTGGGTACCTGAAGCTGCTGTAAAGGCTTTCTTAGCCTGCTTGACACTGGGCACTGAGGTCTCTGCAGCATCTCCAGCAAGCATTGGTCCCACACAGTTGGAACACCTGGTAACAGAGAGCTCAGTACTTCCTGAGGCTGTCCAGTCCATTGTTGGTCATCACTGTTAGCTGTTATCATTGTTGCAGAATCCGTCTGCCCCTATTCTAGCACCTGTCCGTTGGCCCTAGCTGGGTATTCATCAGCAGCTGGAATGTTTTTTGCTTTCCCTGTGTCCTACACCACAGGCCTTCAGGTATTTGGAGACACCAGCCTGATGTCTTCATTCCTCAGGCAAAACCTCCCAGTTTCTTCGCCCCTTTTCCCTAAGTCTTTATTCTCTGAATCCTTTACCTTCCTGTGATTCTTGCTTTTTTCATGTGCCCCCAAAATGTGGGGACAGAGAGGGGCCCACTGACTTACTCTGAATTTATGGACACTTTTCTCAGAGCTGGCGTATAGCAATTTGTAGTCACACAAGCAGGCAGCTGTTTTGGTCATATTTGGTTTTTTAAGTAACTTTTAATTATAAAAGTAATATAGGCCCCGTGCAGAAAACTTAGAAAATACAGATTAGCAGGGAAAAAAGATGGAAGGAAAGAAGACAACATTCAACTATATACACTTTTTTTTTTTTCACCTAAATATAGGCCTTTGCATTTGGCCCTGTTCAATGTTATCTTTTTTGGTTTGGGCCAAGCTGTCTAGGCTGTTGCAATAATTTTGAGTCTGTGAACTTCATCTCCCACCTCCTTGTCATCAGTACATGCAAACCAGTTTTTTCTCTGTCTCCCTCCAACTTGCTCTTTTTTTTTTTTTTTTTTTTTTTTTTTTTGAGACAGAGAGTCTCACTCTGTGGCCCAGGCTCGAGTGCAGTGGTGCCATCTCAGCTCACTGCAACCTCTGCATCCCAGGCTTAGGTCATCCTCTTACCTCAGCCTCCCAAGTAGCTGGGACTACAGGTGTGCACCACCTTAGCCTGCTAATGTTTGTATTTTTAGTAGAGACGGGGTTTCTCCATGTTGCATGCCCAGGCTGGTCCTGAACTCCTGGGCTCAAGTGATCTGCCCGCCTCAGCCTCCCAAAGTGCTGGGATTACAGGCATGAGCCACCACTCCTGGCCATCCAACTTGCTCTTAAAACATTAGAGGGAACACCCTAAGGACAAAGCCTTGTGGTCACTTATTTGGGGCCTCCCTTTGTGCAGACTGGGCTTTTAAGATATGGTCGTTTCCCCAGCTGCAAATCTTCTGACATTTCTACCATCCAACTCATGTTTTCCTGCATCATCCCACAAATGCCATATGGGGTGTGGGCCATGTCATCCTCATCTTCATCAGCTTAGCCAGGACTCTGTAAAAATAAACAACTCCCTGGGCCTAAAGCCTCGGAAGGCACTAGGACAGAAGGGGACAGCTCAGAGGAACTGTCATCCTCACTCCACTTTGCTTTGTCTTGTCATTATGCTCCTCAGGCCAGCCCCCTACTATGTTCTGCCTCTCCTCACTCTCCAGCCAAAGCAGAAGCAGAAATCTCAACTTCGTGGCGCAACCAAGATAGCTTGAATTTTTTCTTCTGTTTAAACATCTTTTTTTGTTGTTGTTATAAAAATACTTTAATCACGAGACAAGAATTTGGCAACTAGAGAAAAGAAAAACAATTCCTGGCTGCTCCTCACTAAAACAAGCACTGCTAACATTTTAAAGTGTTTCTCCCACTCTCTTCTTCTCTGTATATATTATTTACATAGCTCTAATCTTGAAAGGGTGGGACTTCGAAAAGGAAGTTTCTTAAGAAATTTCAGGGAAAGAAGAATTAAAATAAACACTTGAGATAAGAGGAGCTTTTAGGGCAGCAGTTGTCTCCTGCTCTGAGTAAATAAATACAAACCGATCCTTGGTGTTGTCAAGGGCGCCGCTTTCCAGTTGAAGCCCTAGACTTTCTCCCTCACTCAGAGCCAGGATGGTGGTGCCAAGTTGGCCTGTGCCAGGCTTGGCCATGTTCTTAGCTCATCCATTCTGCTCTCGGTATGGGCATCTGTCACATTCTGGGTCTTCTCTGAGCCTGGGTGTGGAAAACACTCCTGTAAAATTGGTCCCCAGACACTCCTCTTGGGCCTGGGCTACCCACCCTCAGACCATGCTTTCTGCTGTCTGTAGCTGGTCCCTGGCATCGTACCTTCTGCCTTGGCAAGTGCCATCTATTTCTTTTCTTTTCTTTCTTTCTTTTTTTTTTTTTTGAGACAGAGTTTTGCTCTTGTTGCTCAGGCTGGAGTGCAATGGCGCAATCTCGGCTCACTGCAACCTCTGCTTCCCAGGTTCAAACGATTCTCCTGCCTCAGCCTCCCAAGTAGCTGGGATTACAGACACCTGCCACAATGCCCAGCTACCCTTTGTCCATTTCTGTGGGTACAGAGTATATTCAATAGCTGTCTGTCCTCTGGCTGCTGCTGTCATCCTAGAAGCCTATCTCTACCTCTTACCTTCCCTCTTCCCAGAAGCACTTCTCTCTCAAAGCCCAAACTCTGCTATTCCAGATCAAGGGACATACCTAGTTATTGGAATTATTTTTCAGAATGCAGAAGAAGAAAGTTTCTCCTCTCCCTGTATATGTGGCACTGTTACTCTGACTCAGTGGTTCTCAAAGTGTGTTCCCTGGACCTGCAGCATCAGCATCACCTGGGAGTATGTTAGGCATGCAAATTGTCAGACTCCCCCACTAGATCTACTGAGTCAGAAAGTCTGGGCACAGAGCCCAGTAACCTGTATTGCAACAAGCCCTCCAGGTGATTCTGATGCCCCTCCAGCCTGAGGCCCCCTAAGTGAAGGAATGTTGCTATTTTGCAAAGTGCTAGCTCCACTATGAATGTGAGAGAAAGCATGGGGAAACTGAGGGAGATGAGTTCCTGAATGAGAAAGAGGTTCAGATATTCCTTGTCTGGGTGTGTCCTGCAGCCTGGAAATCAGGGCTAGGCTAAGTGTTCACTGGGACTCAAAACCTCACAGCCTCAGAGAAGTTTTTGCTTGGGTCTAGTCTAAAAACAGCAATGAGGGTGAGATAAGCTCCAAGGACCAGCCAAGGTAGAGTTCATCTGGAGCCACGAGGTTAATATTGAGATAAACTCTAAAACTTCCCAAGAACAAAATCAGTGAAGCAGGCCAGGCGCAGTGGCTCATGCCTGTAATCCCAGCACTTTGGGAGGCCAAAGTGGGTGGATCATCTGAGGTCAGGAGTTTGAGAACAGCCTGACCAACATAGTGAAACCCCATCTCTACTAAAAATACAAAATTAGCTGAGCATGGTGGTGTATGCCTGTAATCCCAGCTACTTGGGAGGCTAAGGAAGAATCCCTTGAATCTTGGAGGCGGAGGTTGTAGTGAGCTGAGATCGTGCCATTGCACTCCAGCCTGGGAGACAAGAGCGAAATTCCGTCTCAAAAAAAAAAAAAATCAGTGAAGCAGCCAAGCTTTACCAAGGGGCAGAGCCAGCTGCCAGCATCTGTTTAGAAAGACTGCTTCAGGGCCAGGTGTGGTGGCTCACGCCTGTAATCCCAGCACTTTGGGAGGCTGAGGTGGGTGGATCACCTGAGGTCGGGAGTTCGAGACCAGCCTGACCAACATGGAGAAACCCCGTCTCTACTAAAAATACAAAATTAGCCGGACATGGTGGCGCATGCCTGTAATCCCAGCTACTCGGGAGGCTGAGGCAGGAGAATCGCTTGAACCCGGGAGGCGGAGCTCGCGATGAGCTGAGATCGCGCCATTGCACTCCAGCCTGGGCAACAAGAGCAAAACTCCCTCTCAAAAAAAGAAAAAAGAAAGCCTGCTTCAGACCAGTAAGATGGTGCTAGGAGACGTAGGAGACATGGGTTAGGTTGATGGACTTTCAGGGGACTGTTCCCAGATGGATCTCAGGAGGAACCAAGAAGTGTCTAAAGGATATATATAGGGAGAAGGAGAACTCTGGGGATAGGCTTGCCTCACTGAAAGAACCAGACATCATCAGGGAGCATCCAAGGTGTGTGTATTGCGGCTGTGGGGATGGGGTGGGTGTGGATAAAGAGAAAGAGACATACACACACACAGAGAAAATGAACAAATAAATTCTGGGAAGGGTAAGGATTTCATGGGTCTTGAGTTGAGGCCAACCCAAGGCTTCCTAGGCTGGGGTATTCTAAGGCAGGGTGAATAGGAGAGGGCTGGAGGTCCTATGTGCCCAGGAAAACTTTTCAACCCAGAAAACTGACAAAGCTTTACTTCATCCTCAACCCAGAAATCTCTACGTGGCCTTCTCATCTGGTTTTATACTTCGGTATTTACTATGTTGATTTCCCCACAGTTCTCTTGGTTTAGGAGAGTACCTTTTGAAATTTCCAATCCTACTTGGCTGAATGGAGGTGTCCCCATCACAGCCAACATAGCTAGGCAGAACACAGCATCCTTAGCGGCTGTCCTAGCTGGACAGCACAGCAAAATGTGGGGCTGTTAGAATGCTCACAGATGTACAGTTCCTCCTGTTTCCCCAGTGGTGGGCATTCCAGGAGACCCTGCCTGGAGCAGGGTCCAGTAGATTCCCTTTGGAGGCACCACACATAATCATAATTCCTTAAATGTACACTTGTAGGAGTGTTGTTTTCTCACAAGCATTTGCTAAGCATAGAGATTGTTGTAAGTATCTCATATATTCAAGATGTGGCCATACATTTAGCTATTAGAGTCTCAGCTACCTGAGGACTGGGACCATATATTTTATTTTTGTGTCTCCAATGCCCAGCATGATGCCAGGTACAAAATCAACAATCAGGAAACATATTTGTGGAACTTTGAGCAGGTGGTTCTTGTTTTGAGGAGCCTACAACCCGGGTGAAGAGACAAGAAAAGTCCCTCAAGGGAAAGGTTGTGATGCGGGTCCCACTCCTGTTACACAGCCATGAGCAGGCATCTACGAGGAGGTTCAGGGTGAGGCAGACCCTTTAAGGAGAAAGTGCAACTTGAAGGGGCATCCTTGATCTACTTCATTTGTTCTGACAGGACCAAGCTTAGGAAAAGGCTCCTCATGCCCAGGTAGTCAGAGTTGCCAGGGCAAAGCTGGAGGGAGAGTCCTGGTGCATGTTGGGTGGAATTCTGGCAGATGAACACGGGGTGCCCATGAGAGGGGACTCTGACAGATAAATAGGGGGTGCCCATGAGAGGGGACTCTGGGATCACACTGCTAGGGCCTAAATTCTTGCCATTTTCTTGGTGTTGGTGACGTTGGCAAGATACTTGTCCTTCTGTGTCTCAGTTTCCTTATCTGTAAAATGGGACTAATAGGACCTGTTTCGTAGGGTTGTTGTGAGAATTAAGTGAGTTCATGTGTGTACCTCGCCTAGAACAGTGGCTCACAAGGAGTTAGCGCTCTCAGCATGTTTGCTCCCCAGCTTGTACAGGGTCAAGTTCCACACAGTACCATGCTGACACTGTTTAGAATTGGAGAAAGAAGAGATAAGGGGGATTGAGCAGCAGAGGCAAGAGTGCCAGCCCCTGAGCCACCTGGTGCTCTCTCTCACAGACAGAGGGGGCGAGCCCCCCATTCACAGCACGGGTTCCAAGCTCTGCCTCAGCCTATGACCAGAGAGGACTGGCCCCTGGACAGGAGTACCAGGTCACTGTCCGAGCCCTTCGAGGGACCAGCTGGGGCCTTCCTGCCTCCAAGACCATCACCACCAGTGAGAGCTGGGGCTGTGGGGAGGGGTGTCCTGAGTGGAGATCTGGACTAGAGAGGGAATCTGCCCTCCGGGAGGGCAGAAGGAAGGGGCTGGATGGGGGCTAGGCTCTTGGAAGGAAAGATGATGATTGAAGAACCAGACACCCACCTGAGTCCTCCTCTTTAACCTGGCTAGTGATCGATGGGCCCCAGGACCTCCGAGTGGTGGCTGTGACACCGACAACACTGGAGCTTGGCTGGCTGCGTCCCCAGGCTGAGGTGGACCGATTTGTGGTGTCCTACGTCAGTGCCGGCAACCAGAGGGTGAGGCTGGAAGTGCCCCCTGAAGCAGACGGGACGCTGCTGACTGACCTGATGCCAGGCGTAGAATATGTGGTGACTGTCACAGCGGAGCGGGGCCGGGCAGTCAGCTACCCAGCTTCTGTCAGGGCCAACACAGGTATGGCTGGCCAGAGGTTAGGGAAGGGCCCTGGTTTCCCAGCCTTGGATCCTCCTCCTCAGGAGCCCAGGCTCAGGGCTCACAGACTCCTCTGAATGCTTCTGGCAGGTGTGTGGCAGTCTCGAGGCACCTGCTGGGGGCCTTGCTCTGTCCTGAGGCCACTGGGGAGACAGAGCCCTCAGATGCCTGGAGTCCTGTAGGAAGGTTACAGGTTAGCCTATGAAAGGAATGGCCCCAGGGAGAGAAGTGAATAGGAGATGCTGCCTGATCCAGTCAGTTAAGGGAGGTTCTTTTTTAAATTTAGGTACCGGGACAGGCCTTGTGCTGATAGATCTTGTGGGACTGGAATTAGGCAGATTAGAGATCATCAGTCCTGTTGACTTTTGGATTGGGATTGCTGGGAGGTGGGTCTCACAGCAGTGATTTTCCACTAAACCTCGAGGTTTCTTAACAGATACCTGGATATTTTTCTTTTCCTGTGACAGGGGGACACCCACCTCGCTGTAGCTCATGTTCTCTTCCCCGACTCCCCTTTCTCTCCTTCAGCTACAGGGCCCCACCCACGGGCTTCTCTCTTCTTTCTAGGGCACCAACAGTGGTGGGCTTGGAGGGGAATGGGGGGGCTGCGGGACACTGACCGATTTCCCTCCGTTCTCTTTCCAGGTGGGGCTGGGGCACAGGGAAGAGGCCTCTGGCTCTGGTGGGAGGGATCGAGGGAGGGGCTGCCGCGGGAAGGAGTGCCGGGAGGGAGCTGCCACTGACCTGTTCTCCCCTTTTTTGCCCCTGGCAGCACCAGGCCACTACAGTTACCCGGAGGTGCGCCCCCCAGCCCCGCCCCCCAAGTCCCGGCCCCGGCCAGCCCCAGCCCCGCGGCCCCCACGGCCCCCTTGGCCCTCGAGGCCAGCAGAGGAAAGGGAGGAGGAGTCCCCGCCCAGGCCAAGCCTGTCCCAGCCCCCACGGCGGCCTTGGGGCAACCTGACGGCCGAGCTGAGCCGTTTCCGCGGCACGGTGCAGGACCTGGAGCGCCACCTGCGGGCTCACGGCTACCCACTGCGGGCCAACCAGACTTACATGTCGGTGGCGCGCCACATCCATGAATACTTGCAGCGGCGTCTGTTGGCCGCCGCCCCAGCCGGCTCCCCCGCACCCCCGCCCCGCCACCCCCGCCCCACCGCCAGCCCTGATCCCGGCACCAGGAAACGGGACTCCAACCAGGGAATCTACGGCCTCTCGCCTGAAGGCGTCGACCGGGTGGCTGCGTCCCGCCACCCCAAGCCAGAGGTGCTGGGCAGTTCCGCCGATGGCGCGCTTCTCGTGTCTCTCGACGGGCTCCGCGGCCAGTTCGAGCGCGTGGTGCTGCGCTGGCGGCCTCAGCCGCCTGCAGAGGGCCCCGGCGGTGAGCTGACTGTGCCGGGCACCACGCGCACCGTCAGCCTGCCCGACCTCAGGCCCGGCACCACCTACCACGTGGAGGTCCACGGGGTGCGGGCGGGGCAGACCTCCAAGTCCTACGCCTTCATCACCACCACAGGTAGTGTGGGCTGGGGCCACGGGACACCTATCCCTTGTCCAGCCTCACCTGCCGTTGGAGCCTGCATTCATGAATTCCTCCCACTGCCACCCCCCACTGCCCCCTTCTACCTTCAGGCCCTACCTGGCCGGGGCTCCAGGGGGCCCCCAGGACAAAGCACGAGTCCATTGTCCCTAGAAGACGTCCCCACCCCAGGGTCCTGGCATCCATCCTGTGGATGCCTAAGGTCAAGGCAGCGCCTTCTTTGGGGTTTCCCGGGACACTTCCAGGATTGTTATTTTAGGCAATAGAGGGTGATGTGGTTGGGGCACCTGCAAAGATTCACTGGAGCAGTTTGAGTGGGCTGGGAATTGAAAACAGTGATTCCCGTTCTGACTCACTGTGGTGAGAGTGGCTGAAGACTGTGGTTAGTGGTTACTGTTTTCCACAATTTGGCCTTGACCTTGAAGGGACACATCAGAACTGCGTGGGGGTGGCCTGGGTGCCATCAGGCAGCAACTGTATATTGGGGAGGTGAAACCACTGCTTCTTAAGCTGGCTTTTCAGACCCCCTGGCTCACTTTATGCTGGTCTCTCCCACAGGAACGATGTCTGGGCTTGGGGAAAGGGCACCCTGTGGCTGCTGTGGGGAGGGTGGTGGACCTCTTCTTCCCCCATAGGGCCCAGATGCCACCTGACCTGGATGTCCACCCCCACACCCTCTCTCTCTTCCCACTGCCCACTCTCCTCTTGCATCCTCCCTCTCTAACACCACTGTCTTTCTTCCAGGCTTCTCACTGCAGCACTAATGGAAGCCACCTGACCACCACCCAGTGGGGGGGATGTATGTGGGGAGGGACATGGAAGTCTCCGGGGGCTGGAGGTCATGGAAGCCTTGTGGGGTGAAGGATAGCAGGCTTTATTTTACCTATTACCTGCCTGAAGCACAGGCCCGTCTGCTCAGGAATGTGGTAGATGGGGGTGTTTGGAGGATTGGCTGACCTTTGGGAGGAGGGAGTGGCCCAGGTGAGGGAACCAGAAGTAGAAGTAGAACAAGGCTCTTAGAGGCTGGAGGGCAGAACCTGGGGACTGGGGATTCCTTTCTAGTTCTCATACTGGACTCTCCTCTTTTTCTCACCCTGCCCCTTCCCAGGGTCCTCACCCTTGGGCCTCTTGGGGACTACCGATGAGCCTCCTCCCTCAGGCCCCTCGACGACGCAAGGGGCCCAGGCTCCTCTCCTGCAGCAGCGCCCCCAGGAGCTGGGAGAGTTGAGGGTGCTGGGCAGAGATGAGACAGGGCGCCTCCGTGTGGTCTGGACCGCCCAGCCTGACACCTTTGCCTACTTCCAACTGCGCATGCGGGTGCCCGAGGGGCCGGGGGCACATGAGGAAGTGCTGCCAGGGGACGTCCGCCAGGCTCTGGTGCCTCCACCCCCTCCTGGAACCCCGTATGAGCTGTCACTTCATGGGGTCCCTCCTGGGGGCAAGCCCTCTGACCCCATCATCTACCAAGGCATTATGGGTACATCTTGGACTCTGCTCAGATCAATATCCTGAGATTGGGGGAGGAGCTGGGGTTATTGGGACTTCAGAGGTAGGATGGATATTGAGGGGCCAGTGAAGGGCAGGGCTGATGTTTGGGGCTGGATAGAGGAGAAAAGGAGAGAAAAGGAATTGCAGGTTCAGCAGGAAGATGGATCGAGGGGGATCTTAAAACAATGATAAGGATGGGTGGGGAGAGGGGAAAGAGGCAGAGGTAAAAAGGCCGAGGGTGGGACAGAGATTCCAGGAGAGAGGCTGAAGGTCCCTGGCCCTCCACCTGCAGCTTTCCTTGCCCTGTCCCCTGCCCCCACTCTTCGGTTGCTCCTCTGCCCTTCCCTGCCCTATAAATCTTTCAGGGTGGGCATGGGAAGGCCTCTGGACACTGACCCTCAGCCCCCAATACCTCGTCCCTGGGAGCCTGGTTTGCAGTGGACAGCAGTCCATGGTCCCATCAGCCAGTTTCTGCTGGGGGTGAAGGCTCCTTGGGGCAGGGGGCTCCACAGCCATCAGGACTTCAGACATGGATGAGGTTTGCAGGACCAGTGAAAGACAGGTCCTGGGGTACCTGGCTTTCACATCCCCTCTTTGTTCCTCTCTGTGGGACCAGGGTGGCTGACTCATCCCCCAGCTCCAGGTCAAGCTCACCACTGGAAGAGAGGGTGGTAAGAGAGACAGCAGCTCAGGTGGGCAGAGGAGCTTTCAGACTGCTCTGATGCTGCAGCAGGGAGGCTTGAAACTCTCATTCAGAACCAGGGGGACCTGAAACCCCCGCAAAGATCCTGGTGTGCAGAGAGACCAAGACCTTGTGAGGGATGGAGAAACTGTCACAAGGGAAGAAGCAGAGATTGAGAGGGAAATGCCCCTCTTCCAGAAGAGCTAGTCACTGAGGGGTGGGCAGATAGAGTCTTCCGGGGAGGGATCTATCCAGGATGGAGTGAGGTGGGCAGGGGAGAGGGAAGGAGACACAGACAAGAGAACGGTTGAGTCCACTATGCTTTGCTTTTGCCTCTCAAACTCCAGACAAGGATGAGGAGAAGCCTGGGAAGTCCTCAGGCCCACCACGCCTGGGTGAGCTGACGGTGACAGACAGGACCTCCGACTCCTTGCTCCTGCGCTGGACGGTCCCCGAGGGCGAGTTTGACTCCTTCGTGATCCAGTACAAAGACAGGGACGGGCAGCCCCAGGTGGTGCCCGTGGAAGGACCCCAGCGCTCGGCCGTCATCACCTCCCTGGATCCTGGCCGCAAGTACAAATTTGTCCTGTATGGGTTTGTTGGCAAGAAGAGGCATGGTCCGCTGGTGGCTGAAGCCAAGATCTGTGAGTGACAGCAGTAACACCCTGCCCTCTGTACTGCCCTGAAGAGGTTTTCTCAGTGCTTTGGGAACCTGCTTTGGGAGCTCCGGGAAGGCTTCCTGGAGGCAGTGGTGCATGAGCTGAATTCTGAAGGGAAAGTAGTGGTGGGGCAGGCAAAGAGTTTGAGAAGCTCAGTGCAGCCTGAGGGAGTCACGGTGAGTAAGGTGGGGAGAGCATGGCCAGTAAGAGAATCACTGTTACAGTTTCCTCTGGCTGGAGAACAGGGCATGTGGGGGGTGCCAAAGGGCCTGGTCTCAGGGCTTCCTGTGCTGTGCTGAGGGGCTTGGGCCTCATTCGAAGGCCCCTAGAGGGCCTCTGAAGGGTAAAGTGGGAGAGTGATGAGACTAGATATTTATCTTGCAAATAACCGGGTGGCTGCTGAGACTAGCTGGAGAAGTGAGTTAAGAGCTGGTAAAGGCTAGCAGGGTTGATCCTGCCTATAATCCCAGCACCTTGGGAGGCCAAGGCAGGAGGATCGCTTGAGGCTAGGAGTTTGAGACCAACCTGGCAACATAGTGAGACCCCCCATCTCTACTATAACAAAAGATATTAGCCAGGCGTGGTGGTGCGTGCCTGTAGTCCCAGCTACTTGAGAGGCTTGAGGTGGGAGGATCGCTTGAGCCCAGGAGACCGAGGCTGCAGAGAGCCATGATTGTGCCACTGTACTCCAGCCTGGGTGCTATCCACACTCTGCACAGAGCAACACCCTGTCTCAAAAAAAAGAAAAATGATGATGGGTCAGCTGGGATGGTGGCAGTGGGGCTGGATGGGGGAGGCGAAGGAAAGCAAGGTGTACCAGGCAGCCCCCAGGGTTCTGGATGAGACAGTCCCATTCCCTGAGGCAGGGAGCAGCAGAGGTGGGGAACAACGCCTTAGATAAACTTAGATCAATATCTAAGAGACACTTACATAAATACCTTTTGTGCATTTATTGAGAGTCAGTTGTGATCAAGATGTTCTCTAAGTGGATCATCACACCCCATAAAGCACACCTGGGAGGCATGCCTACTTTATAGGTCAGGAGAATTGAGGCACCAGAGTAGTCGTGTGGGGTTGGGGAAGAGACAGGGCCACTGGAACCCTGTCGACAGCCTACACTCACAGCGGAGGCAGAGGAAGAAGAGCCCACAGGGTAGCTTGCGGAGTGACTTGCAGGGAGGGGCAGAACCAGGGAGGGTGCTGTCTGGACTCCAGGAAGGAGGGTGCGGTTGGACTTGTCAGATTCCGGAACAGTGATTCAAGGGCTACGGAGCGTCCACAGAATTTAGCAATGGCAAGGCCACCCCTGGCCTGCATGAGAGCTGCTGCCTGGTGGAGGGGTGGAGCTGGATCGGGAGGGTGGTGGAGGTGAGGACATGGCTGCAATCAGTGTAGACATCACTTTCTGGAATCTGGGCTGGGAATGAGAGCAAAGAGGGAAGATGGAGGCTAGAGAGAGATGCACACAGAGTGGGGGTGAGGAGGGGTGTGACAGTAGCTTGTTGAAATGCTGATGGCACAACTGCTGGGGAGTGAAGGGTCAGTGCTGCAGGCGAGGGAGTCCATCCATGGGTCAAAGTTCCCAAAGAGGAGGAGAGGCCTGCAGCATAGATGAGGGAGGCTGTCCCACATTAAAACGCTTCAAGGATTGTGCTCTCCTCTCTTGGAGAAGAAGCCAGCTAGTAGTTAGGCTTGGAAGCAGTGGAGGTTGTACTGGGAAGATTTCCCTGGCTATGGAGATGTGAAAGGGCCTGGCTGGGCTCCCCTCTTTCTGAAGCTCCCTGCTGCTCTGGTTTGTGGTTGGAGGCAGAGCCACACTAGTCCACGCAGTGCTTCCATGCCGTTTGAAAGAAGGCACCCATTCCTTAAAGTGGACACCACTCCTCACCAGGGCACACAGCTCGGCAAGCAGAGTGCTGGCTGGATTTCAGTCCCTCTGTACTCCCTCAGCAAATGCACTTTTGTGCAGTGAACAACCTGCACAGCCTCACACAGCATTCCTATGTGGGATTTGGCTTCCCCATTCTCCTTGGACCTAAGTCTCTCCCTTCTCTCTACCCACTCTTCCTAGTGCCTCAGAGTGACCCAAGTCCAGGGACTCCACCCCGCCTGGGAAACCTGTGGGTGACAGACCCTACCCCAGATTCACTGCACCTCTCCTGGACTGTCCCTGAGGGCCAGTTTGACACCTTCATGGTCCAGTACAGGGACAGGGATGGACGGCCCCAGGTGGTACCTGTGGAAGGGCCCGAGCGTTCATTTGTTGTCTCCTCACTGGACCCTGACCACAAGTACAGATTCACTCTGTTTGGAATTGCGAACAAGAAGCGGTATGGCCCCCTCACGGCCGATGGCACCACTGGTGAGTAGCAGCCACCTCAGCCCCCATGTGACCCCTTCTCAGCCCCATGCACACTTCCCTTCAGCCCAAAACCAGCTGGGGTCCCCCAGCAAGACAGCTGACTCCAGCTTCCCGGCCCCACTCCAGGGCTGAGGGGCAGCCAGACTCCCCCGCACTGCTGGGCCCCTTCCATCCCAAGCAGCAGCTCCCCGTGGCCCAGAAGGTGTGTCATACCCTGGCTGTGTCAGGCTTCCCAGAAGTTTAGCACTCGAATTAATGGACTAGTGACCCCCCACCCCCCATAGGTGTGACATCCCGTCGAAACCCCAAGCCCCAGTCCCAGGCTGCCAGTTCAGCACCTGGCTGGATCTCCTTGTTTACAGCTCCAGAGAGGAAAGAGGAGCCCCCCCGCCCTGAGTTCCTGGAGCAGCCCCTCCTGGGGGAACTGACAGTGACCGGCGTGACCCCAGACTCCTTGCGTCTCTCATGGACAGTGGCCCAGGGCCCCTTCGACTCATTCATGGTCCAGTACAAGGATGCACAGGGGCAGCCCCAGGCAGTGCCTGTTGCGGGGGATGAGAATGAGGTTACTGTCCCCGGCCTGGATCCCGACCGGAAGTATAAGATGAACCTCTACGGGCTTCGTGGCAGGCAGCGTGTGGGGCCCGAGTCTGTGGTGGCCAAGACTGGTGAGTCATGGCTGCCAGGCCTCCCTCCCCTGCTAGCCCCATCCTGTGAGCGGGACTTGGCTGGGGCTCCTTCCAGCCTCCCTCCATCTTCGCCTTCTCAGCTCATTTTGCCAAAGCCTCCACCCACTTCCTCCCGCACTGCTCTCCTGTCCTCTGCATGCCAGGTCCCCCTCATCCAGCCTCCACCTCCTCATCTCTTCCTCAGCCTCACTTCTTCATCTCCAAGGGCAGGTCCTATTTTCCCCCATTCCAAACACCTGGACTCATCCTTCCACCTGGGGCTGTCCTCCCCACAGATGTCCTCACCATTCGGTCACTGTGTTCTCACCCCTCAGTTTTTACTGGGCTCCTTCATGGTCTGGTTTGGGCCATGGTCACTTCTGGGCTTCTGTCACCTGCTGCCCACAACCTCCTGCCATTTCTGCTGTGTTCAGAGGTGGCAGATCCAAGTGACAAGAGCACCACGTTTCTCTAGCCTTTTTGCAGCATGAAGAGGACTCCTCTCAGCTCCCGACTCCTTGACTCCCAGCCCCCTTGGAACAGGGCAAAGGGATTGTGTTCAGCCCAGCATCCCAGCCTGTTCCTCCATGTCCCCAGCCTTTCCCTGTCCAGTGCCATTCCCCTGGCCTGTGAATTATTTGATGAGAGATAGTGTGGATAGTGGTTAGGAGCAAAGACTCCGGAGCCAACTGCCCGAGTCTCACTACCAGCCTTGCAACTTACTTCCTGTAGGACCTTGTGCAAATTGCTTAACCTCTCTGTGCCTCAGCTTTCCCTTCTGTCAGGTGGCTGGATTTCAGTCCCTCTGCACAGAGCTGTTGGAATTACATGAGTTAATATATGTATAACACTTAGAAAGGCCAGGCACAGTGGCTCATGCCTGTAATCCCAGCATTTTGGGAGGCCAAGGCGGGTGGATCACGAGGTCAGGAGATCGAGACCATCCTGGCTAACACGGTGAAACCGTGTCTCCACTAAAAATACAAAAAATTAGCCAGGCATGGTGGCAGGTGCCTGTAGTCCCAGCTACTCAAGAGGATGAGGCAGGAGAATGGCGTGAACCCGGGAGGCGGAGCTTGCAGTGAGCCGAGATCGCGCCACTGCATTCCAGCCTGGGCGACAGAGTGAGACTCCATCTCAAAAAAAAAACAAAAACAAAAACAAAAAAAGCCCACACACTTAGAATAGTGCTTGGAGCAGCAAAGCATTTTCAGAGTGAGCTGCAATTTCTCCCTGACTCTCTCACTTCCCAGTAATCTTTTTTGCTCCCCACCTCCCTCCCTTCCTCTGGGTTGTCATTCTTGCCAATTCTTTCCTCAATCTGCTATCCCAAAGTAGTCCCCCATGTAGCAGGTCACAGAAGGGCTGGTTTCCCTTGTGCCACAGTCTCCCCACTCCATGGAGCCTCAGCAGAGACCTAACTGTAGGGGGCGGGTAGGTGCCCACAGGGCTGTGATTCCAGAGCCAGCCAGGGAAGGACATGTCTCTCCTTGGATCCCACTCACCCCAGAATTTTTCTCCCACTCATGCCTGGAGCCCTGCCTTAGCAATTCATTCCTTGGGGTTAAAGGGGAGGGAGGGGCAGGGCTGCCTGGGGAGGCCACAGCAAGAGCACATTCCATGGTCAGATCCTCATATGAGGGGTGGGGCAGCCAGAGTGCCCTGGGGAGGGCACAGGTAGGAAGAGGCCTCACTGCCCTCCTCACTGTCTGAGGTCAGCACTGTCAGTGAACGTGGTTTGGAAGAACCCTCAGAGGCTTCCTCTCTTCCCATCTCAGCTCCTTTCTCAGACACGAAGGGAGACCCCTCACCCCCACAGAACCCACCAGAGCAGGATGGGGCAAGGGCTGTCTCAGCCTTCTCCATCCGTGAGTGACCGAATGGCAAATACAAAGGCTACAGAGCCCCTGAGCCCACAGCGTAAGGGCATTTCCATGGCTGTCATCTGTGGGCAGCAGCAGCAAAGCCAGCAGCCCTTTATGCCTCTATCTCTTCTCTCAGCTCCTCAGGAGGATGTGGACGAGACCCCCAGCCCCACAGAACTGGGCACGGAGGCCCCGGAGTCCCCCGAGGAGCCGCTCCTGGGGGAGCTGACAGTGACAGGATCCTCCCCTGATTCGCTGAGCCTCTTCTGGACCGTCCCCCAGGGCAGCTTCGACTCTTTCACCGTGCAGTACAAGGACAGGGATGGGCGGCCCCGGGCGGTGCGTGTTGGGGGCAAGGAGAGTGAGGTCACCGTGGGAGGCCTAGAGCCCGGGCACAAGTACAAGATGCACCTGTACGGCCTCCACGAGGGGCAGCGCGTGGGCCCGGTGTCCGCCGTGGGCGTGACAGGTGAGTGAGGGGCAGGGGCCTGCTTTGGTTCCCTCCCACTGCTGGCTCCCAGCTTCCCTGTAGCCAGTTGCTCTCCTTGCTCCAGTGGAACCTTGAGGCTGCCTGCCAGGGGAAGACCTAGAAAGAGCATGTCACTGGGGACTGGCGTACCACCAGCTTTCATGGCCCTGAGCAAGTTTTAAACTTTCTGCACCTCTGTTTCCTTGTCCGTAAAATGGGGACACCTACCTCACAGAGTTATTGTGAGGGTTAAGTGAGTTAACAGATGTAAAGCATCAAGAATGGGCCTGGCAAAAGTAAATATGCTGCCAGTGTCTGCTGTGAGAATTGTTATAAATATTCTTACTCTGAGGTCTGCTTTGTCCCCTTTGGCTGGTTCAGTTACTTGGTCAGAATGCACATGAATCTAAGGCCATACCACCCTGAAGGTGTCCTATCATCTCCTCTGATCTCAGAAGCTAAGCAGGGTCAGGTCTGGTTAGTACTTGGATGGGAGAATGCGCGTGAGACATTGGCCTCTTCATCAGTACAGCTTGAAGCAAGCTTTCTTTTCTTTCTTGTCTTTTTTTTTTTTTTTTTTTTTTTGAGACAGAGTCTCACTCTGTTGCCCAGCCTGGAGTGCAGTGGTGCGATCTCAGCTCACTGCAACCTCTGCCTCCCAAGTTCAAGTGATTCTCCTGCCTCAGCCTCCCAAATAGCTGGGACTACAGATGCGTGCCACCACACCTGGTTACTTTTTTGTATTTTTAGTAGAGACGGGGTTCACCGTGTTGGCCAGGCTGGTCTCAAACTCCAGATCCTCAAGTGAGCCACCTGCCTCGGCCTCCCAAAGTTCTGGTATTACAGGCGTGAGCCACCACGCCTGACCACAAAGCTTTCTCTTTCTTCTTTCTCTCTTTTTCTTTCTTTCTTTCTTTCTTTCTTTCTTTCTTTCTTTCTTTCTCTTTCTTTCTGTCTCTCTCTCTCTCTTTCTTTCTTTTTTTCCTTTCTTTCTGTTTTTTGAGCTCTGTTGCCCAGGCTGGAATGCAGTGGTGCAATCTTGGCTCACTGCAACCTTTGCCTCCCAGGTTCAAGTGATTCTCCTGCCTCAGCCTCCCGAGTAGCTGGGATTACAGGCATGCACCACCACACCTGGCTAATTTTTGTATTTTTAATAGAGATGGGGTTTTACCATGTCAGCCAGGCTGGTCTCAAACTCTTGACCTCAAGTGATCCACCCGCCTTGGCCTTCCAAAGTGCTGGGATTATAGGCATAAGCCACCACGCCCGGCCACAAGGCTTTCTTTAATACTCATCCAGTGAGTGACTTTACAGCAAAGAAGAACATCCCTTCCACCCTTTCTCTCAGGCCTGGTTACAGGGCCACATCCACCACCACACAGGACCAGCCTGGGCACCTCCTCTCCAGGGCCTCAGCCCAAGAGGCTGAGTGGACAGCAGTGCCTCTGGGACCCTCGGGCTGACCTGCCCGGTTTAGTCACAGTGAGGGGAATCTCTTTTTTCCTTTGCTCACAGAAACAAAGACACACCTTTCTCAAAAATAACTTTTACTATAAGGGGAAAGATTAAAAAATTAAAAGTAGAGAAATAGATAGTTTTCCAGAACATGGTTTCTGTAATTCCACCAAGCTCAGCCTCATCATGACTTGGTTGATTTCATTTCCAGAACCTTCCACCCTCAATTTATTTTCTTTGCCTCAGTCAGCCCTGAGAAGAGGGAGACGGCAAAGCCACCCTGAGTGGCTGTCCTTGGGGCCTGAGGTTGTAGGGTGGAGGCTGGTGCCAGGCCCAGACATGCTGCCAAGTCTGCTCCTGGAGTGACCCTCCCTCTGCCGCTCTGTCCCAGGGACCCACACTGGGCTCTGTGAGGCCCTGTGCCTGGTCCCTGGGGTAAGGATGGGCTCTGTCAGGCACTGACCAAGTCGGTGCAGTAGAGATAAATGGAGTTTGGGAATCTGACAAACTGAGTTCCTTCCTGTCTTCCTCTGTTCTCAGCTGTATGATTTTTATTTTTTTATTTTATTATTATTTTTTTGAGACAGAGTCTTGCTTTGTCACCCAGGCTGGAGTGCAGTGGCATGATCTCAGCTCACTGCAACCTCTGGCTCCCAGGTTCAAGCAGTCCTCCTGCCTCAGCCCCCCAAGTAGCTGGGATTACAGGCGCCCACCACCACACCCGGCTAATTTTTGTATTTTTAGTAGAGACAGGGTTTCACCATGTTAGCCAGGCTGGTCTCGAACTTCTGACCTCAGATGATCCACCCGCCTTGGCCTCCCAAAGTGCTGGGATTACAGGCGTGAGGCACCGTGCCCAGCCAGCTGTATGATCTTGAAAAACTTACCTCCTCTCCTGGAACCTCAGCTTCCTCATATTCAGGAGGGAGTAAACGCTGCCCAGCTTGTTGTCACGGTTAAAGGTGGTGATGTAACATGTCTGGCATCTTCTCAGCTCATTCATCTTTTGCTCAGACCTTCCCGTGAGGGAATCCCTGTATATCCATGTTCTAATGCTGGATATTTTGAAACATGTATTTTACACGTCCTGGATAAAATAGATGAGGCCCTTTAGGAAAGAAATGGGCATCAGTGCGCATTATCAGAGCAGCAAAAGGACGAAGCAGCTGGAGTCCGCCAAGCTGGGGGCTGTGTCTGGCAGCACACACAGTGCAGTTGCCAGGGGGAGAGGTGCGTGGAGCTCATTAGACACACTTCTAAATTGGAAAAGGACTGTCCCACATGCAGCATGGGGACTGCCAGAGTCATGAATCGTTATAATTGTACCTTTCCAGTTAATCCAAACCACCAGCAATAAAGCTTGATGGTGAAGGACATTTTCATTCCCTCATGGAAAGAAGTGCAGAGAGGGCAAAAAGGAGCAGGGAATGGGTGCTGCAGGAACAAGTAAGGTTAGAAGGCAAATGAAATGAGAGAAAATGCCCAGCCTGGTACCTGTACATAGTAGATGTTCAATACTTGGTGGTCACTCTGCTCCCTCCCACCACCTCAGCTGCCTCCATGCCTGCCCTCCCCAGCCTGACTCATTTCTGTCTGCCCGAGGCCTGGTCACCAGCCTGTTTTAAGCAGTTGTCACTTGCTTGGAGCCTTGTCTTGCCCTCCGGAGGAAGCCAGAGAAACAAGTTCTTGGGAGCCCCACCCATCCAGCCACCTTCTCTGCCATTTTGCCTCTTGGGACCACCTTCTAGTTTGCTCACTAATGAGTGCTTCCTCATGCGGGAGTGGTGGGGATCTGCAGGTCCTGAGCCCAGACCTGTAGACCACTCATTATTTTACAGACATCTGTGGAGCACCTACTGTGTGCCAGGGACTGGGACACAGCAGTGAATAAAGCAGAGCTCCTGCCTGAGGAGCTCACATTCTAGTGGAGAGGGACAGGCAACAAATTGCACAAATATGTCAGTGGCACCGGATGTGACAGTGATGAGTGGTGGGGAAAAGCAGAGCCTAGTAGGGAGACAGCAAGGGCCTCACTGCGAGGGCAGTGTCTGAGGAAAGCCCTGAAGGAGGTGAGAGGACAGCCACCTAGGCCTTTGGGGAAAGAGCATCCCAGACAGAAGGAAGAGCAAATGCAGAGACTGGCAGGCGAGAAGCAGCCCCAGATGTCTGCAGACAGTGAGGAATGCAGTATGTTTTGTGGTGGAGTTGGAGGAGGGCAGGCAATAGGGAATGATCTAAGAGATGAATATGGGACCTCAGAGGCCAGTGCAGGACTTGGATTTCACCCTGAGTGAGGTAGAAGCCACTGCGGGAACCAGCTCTGGCTAATGTGTTAACAGGATCCTTCTGGCTGCAGACCCAACAGACTAAAGGGGGGTGAGGGCAGAAGGCGATGACCTGAGAGAATGTTGTGATAATCCAGGAGGAGCCAGTGGTGCTTGGAGGTGGCAAGGAGGGGTCAGACTCTGAAGGTAGTGACAACAGGCGGATACCCACAGGGCGGATGTGGAGTTTAAGAGAGGACTCGGGGATGACTCTGGCGGTTTAGATCTGAGCAGCTGGAAGAATGAAGTTGTAATCCTGGTCAGGCGTGGAGGATCATGCCTGTAATCCCAGCACTTGGGGAGGCCGAGGCGGGCGGATCACCTGAGGTCGGGAGTTCAAGACCAACCTGACTAACGTGGAGAAACCCCATCTCTACTGAAAATACAAAATTAGCCGGACGTGGTGGCACATGCCTGTAATCCCAGCTACTCAGGAGGCTAAGGCAGGAGAATCGCTTGAACCCAGGAGGCGTAGGTTGCGGTGAGCCGAGAGGGCGCCATCGCACACCAGCCTGAGCAACAACAGCGAAACTCCGTCTCAAAAAAAAAAAGTTGTAATCTTACTGAGGTGGGGAGGCTGTGGCGGGAGCAGGTGTCAGGAAGCTCAGAGGCTCAGTTTTGGACTTGTTGAGTTTGACACACAAGTAGGCCTCCAAGGAAGACGTTGCACGAACACTAGTCTGGGGTTCAGGGGAGGTCTGGACAGAGGGTGTAAATCTGGAGTCATTGGCATATAGATGGAATTTCAGCGCTCTCCCAGGGTGTCAGTGATGGTTGATACTCTTCTCCCCCAACAAATGCAGCCTCAGACACCGAGCAGGGACCTAGTGAAGGACTGTTGACCAGACAGATGTTCAGATCAATGCGCTTTTACATCAAAACCATCATGCGGGTTCCACAAATGCAACAGACATCGCTGGGTGTGGTGGCTCACACCTGTAATCCCAGCACTTTGGGGGCTGAGGCAGGTGGATCACCTGAGGTCAGGGGTTTGAGACCAGCCTGGCCAACATGGCAAATGCCGTCTCCACTAAAAATACACACACACACAAAATTAGGCAGGCATGGTGGCGCACGCCTGTAGTCCCAGCTACTTGGGAGGCTAAGGCAGGAGGATCGCTTGAACCCGGGAGGCAGAGGCTGCAGTGAGCCGAGGTCGCCCACTGCTCTGGGTGACAGCGAGACTCCATCTCAAAAATAAAAAATAAAAAATAAATAACTAGACATCATTACTATAAGAAAAGGGGGATTCTTTACTAACAGCCCCCTACCATCTCTGTCCCAGCCCCACAACAAGAAGAGACCCCTCCAGCCACTGAGTCCCCGCTGGAGCCACGCCTAGGAGAGCTGACAGTGACAGATGTGACCCCCAACTCTGTGGGCCTCTCCTGGACAGTCCCCGAGGGCCAGTTTGACTCCTTCATAGTCCAGTACAAGGACAAGGACGGGCAGCCCCAGGTGGTGCCGGTGGCGGCAGACCAGCGAGAGGTCACAGTCTACAACCTGGAGCCTGAGAGAAAATATAAGATGAACATGTATGGACTACATGATGGGCAACGCATGGGCCCCCTGTCTGTGGTCATCGTGACGGGTGAGTAATGGGGGGACTCAGTCCTCATCTCTGGTTACCCAGAGCTCCCCCACCCCATGGCCCTTCTTCCAGCCCTGCCTTGGTACCACCGCACCCTCACTGAGGGGCTAGATCCCCTCAGGCCCTGGCTCGGTGACCCTGCCAGTCTTTCTGTTCCCTGACCCCTTTACTCCTCCCAGGGCTAGAGCCTTCTCAGCCCTCCAGCTCCTTCCCCATCTCCACTCTGCCCCCCGCCCAGGGGAATGTCTTATTTCCATTTGGCCTAAATCCAGCCACAGACTTTCTCTCCCCCTCTCCGACTGCCCACAGCTGTTTCCACCCCTTCTCTTTACAACCCTGCTGTGACTTGGACACAGCTGCCACCTCCTGCTTCTGCCCTTTTTTGTTGAGGCGAAGTGCTTTACATCCTGAGTCCCTTCTCAGGAGTCCTCTGCCACCTGCCTGCACTGCATTCCATCCCAGCCCTGGAGAGTTTTCATCTCTCCAGGAGGCTGCCTCACTCTTGCTCTGGGCTCCTTCCTGCCCCTCATGGCTTCCTGGGCACAGGTTCTCCATGATTGTTGTGCTGTGGCATCTGGTGAAACCCCTACCCCACCTGAAGGCAATGTTTTTAAATCTGTAAAATAAGCTGTATAGGATTACAAAGGAAACATTATATTTATAGACAGTTATCAAAATATTTCTTTTTTATTTTTGAGATGGAGTTTTGCTCTTGTCATCCAGGCTGGAGTGCAATGGCGCGATCTCGGCTCACTGCAACCTCCGCTTCCCAAGTTCAAGCAATTCTCCTGCCTCAGCCTCCCGAGTAACTGGGATTACGGGCACGTGCCACCACACCCAGCTAATTTTTTGTATTTTTAGTAGAAACAGGGTTTCGCCATGTTGGCCAGGCTGGCCTCAAACTCCTGACCTCAGGTGATCCACCCGCCTCGGCCTGGCATGAGCCACTGCACCCGGCCCAAAATATTTCTTAAAAATCCAAAGTTACGATTTAGTAATACTTGGACTTATTTACTAGTTCATTAAATAACAGGACTTGGTGGCGCGTTTACTAAACTACAAAATTTAGAAGCAGTGATGGATATAAAAGGTATTTTAAAGTTTCTGCAATAACTCTAAGGTGACATGAAAACATCTGTGGTTTCTATTGGTAACAAAGTCACAATAATTCTACTCTGGTGGGTTTTCTATATTAGTTTTGGAAAGAAATGCTGCATTTCAGTTAGAGGTCTGGAAGTAAAGGTGTAACTATTCCCCATCTCAGTTCACAGCCCCCCTGAGGCCCTCAAAGCCCAGGGGTTCTCCCCTCAGAGATCTCAACCATGTTCTTTGTCTTCCCAAATCCCAGCTCCCCTCCCACCAGCCCCAGCCACAGAGGCCTCCAAGCCTCCCCTGGAGCCACGCCTAGGGGAGCTGACAGTGACGGATATAACCCCTGACTCTGTGGGCCTCTCATGGACAGTCCCTGAGGGTGAATTCGACTCCTTTGTGGTTCAGTACAAGGACAGGGACGGGCAGCCCCAGGTGGTGCCCGTGGCTGCAGATCAGCGGGAGGTCACTATCCCTGACCTGGAACCCTCCCGCAAGTACAAGTTCCTGCTCTTTGGGATCCAGGATGGGAAACGACGCAGCCCAGTCTCTGTGGAGGCAAAGACGGGTGAGATGGGCCCCTACACAGCTGAGCCTGAGGCCACAGCCTTCCCACCCTTCTCTTCACTCCCTCTGCTGAGTCTTCCCTTTGTCCACCTGCTCTGTCTCATTTGAAAAGCCACATGGGGCTAGCACAGTGACTCATGCCTGTAATCCCAGCACTTTGGGAGTCCAAGGCAGGTCAGGAGTTTGAGACCAGTCTGGCCAACATGGCAAAACCCTGTCTCTACTAAAAAGACAAAAATTAGCTGGGTGTGGTGATGGGTGCTAGTAATTCCAGCTACTCGGGAGTCTGAGGCACAAGAATCACTTGAACCCAGGAGGTGGAGGCTGCAGGGAGCTGAGATTGCGCCACTGCACTCCAGCCTGGGTGATAGAGCCAGACTCCGTCTCAAAAAAGACCAAAAAAAAAAAAAAAAAGAAAGAAAAGCCGCAAAGCAGATGAGGACCAGGAGAGTGGGGCCAGTTCCTGGGTCTGCTGTCCCCTGCTGACTCTGCCTCTCTTCTCGTAATTTCCACTTTTGTTGGATGAGGGAAGCCCCTACAGGCCTCTTCCTGCAGGGTGGATGTGGGAGCCTGGGGGTGCTGGGAGAAGGGGCGAGGGGAGCCAGGAACCCTTCCTGCCTTGCGAATCCATCACCTCCTGAGAGTCTTTGTTGTCTCCCCTGTGACTCTCACCCAGGTTCTCACCCTCCTAGCTCAGGCCTGTCTGGGCCCATATGTGCCTCCTACAGAGGCTGCCCTTCCTTCTCTGCCCTCCTCCTGAAGTCTCAGAAATTGGGAACCAGAGGAGCCCAGCCCAGCTGTGCCCCTTTCCGAGGGTTCAGTCCAAGCCCTCCCCTGCCCCTGGGGGCTCCCTATTGCCAGAAAACTTGCAATAACAATGTCGTCAGCGTCCTCACCGTCCAGGAAGGCAGCAGGCCAGCTCCTTCTCAAGCCCTGGGATGGCTCCTCAGGCAGACACCAGATCCCTTCCCTGCCTGAGCTCCCCGGCATCATCCCCCTCAACATTCTCACAGGCAGCCCACGCTCCTTCACCAGGCCCAGTGGGAGCCTTAGTTCTCCCGGGCCAGCCAGTGCAGAATAAGAAAGGGAACGGAGAAGGGTGAGAACTACCTGTGTCGTAACATCCTGCCTCCCTGACCTGCCGAGTGCCCCCATCAGGGATCCTGCGCTCCTCGGGGCCGGCCAAATCACCCCTTTCCTCAGGGGCCGGCCAAATCACGGCCAAATCGTGTGCTCCTGGGTAAGAGGAGATAGAGACCCAGTCTGTAAGAAGCTGCACCCTGCTGGGGAAGCAGTCTGTGAGAGGCGGAAAGAGGCTGGACAGAAAGGGGAGTAAGATGAGGCAGGGAGCTAGGGAATCTCTTTTCCTGGAGGTGACTCAGGACAGGTGACCCTCCCCACTTGGGTCAAGGGGAGAGAGGCATGGACCAGACGGAGATGGTGGTGAGGATGGGAGGTGATGGAAATATTTTGGGGAAGCACTGAGCATTTGGGCAGTTCTGGGTTTTTCCAGCCCCAGAGGGAGGCAGTCAAGGAGTCGTTTTGGAAAAAATAAACACAAGAACCTTTCCTCTCCAGTTGCCCGAGGTGACGCCAGCCCAGGGGCCCCACCCCGCCTTGGGGAGCTGTGGGTGACAGACCCCACCCCAGACTCACTGCGCCTCTCCTGGACGGTTCCTGAGGGCCAGTTCGACTCTTTTGTGGTCCAGTTCAAGGACAAAGACGGGCCCCAGGTGGTGCCCGTGGAGGGCCATGAGCGCTCTGTCACTGTCACCCCTCTGGATGCCGGCCGCAAGTACAGATTCCTCCTCTATGGCCTCCTGGGCAAGAAGCGCCATGGCCCTCTCACTGCCGACGGCACCACGGGTGAGGGGCATTCCCTGCAGGTCCCTGCTCTGCTCCCCTCAGGCCAAGCAGCAGACGGTCACTTGTGGTGGCTGCCATTACCATTATTTGGCCCCAGCCACTCGGCTCAGATCCAGCTCCCCACGTCCCTGCACAAGCCCCTAGCACAGCCCGGCAGGACTCAGCCACGCAAAGCCCTGTCTCCAGACCTCTCAATCCTGCCCGTCGAGGTCACCCAGTCTTCCAGAAACAGCTCAGCCGTTTCCTCTCCGTGTCTCCATCTCAGAAGCCCGGAGTGCTATGGATGATACTGGAACAAAGCGTCCCCCAAAACCCCGTCTGGGGGAGGAGCTGCAGGTGACCACCGTGACCCAGAACTCCGTGGGCCTCTCCTGGACAGTCCCTGAGGGCCAGTTTGACTCCTTTGTGGTCCAGTACAAAGACAGGGACGGGCAGCCCCAGGTGGTGCCCGTGGAGGGCAGCCTCAGGGAGGTCAGCGTGCCGGGCCTGGACCCTGCCCACAGGTACAAGCTGCTGCTCTACGGGCTGCACCACGGCAAGCGTGTGGGCCCCATCTCGGCCGTCGCCATTACTGGTGAGTGTGCGGCAGCTGGAACACCTGTGCCTCCTTCCCGCCTGGCTCTCCTGGTCTGACTGAGCCATAAGATCTCTGAGCTTCCCATTTTATATCATTTCCATTGATCCAGAAAGTTTCCTTGTGCCCCTTTAGAGTCAGTTGCCCCAGTCCCAGCCTCCAGCAACCACTGTCTGCTTTCGATCATCCTGGAGACAGCATTTTGACTCTCCATGTAATGGAATCACAATACGCAGTCTCTTGTGTTTCATTTCTTGCAATTAGCACAATGCTTTTGAAATTCACCCATGTGCAGCAAAAGCTGGTCTTTCGATTGCTGACTGCTTGCCCTCACTCCCTCTCCTCCCTCACTCCTCCTGAGAGTCTGGGTGCAGCGACACACCAGCCATCTGTCTCTACCTGTCTCTGTGAACCAGCCGGCAGGGAAGAAACGGAAACTGAGACCACGGCCCCGACCCCTCCAGCGCCTGAGCCCCACCTCGGGGAGTTGACAGTGGAGGAGGCCACGTCACACACCCTGCATCTCTCCTGGATGGTGACTGAGGGAGAATTTGACTCCTTCGAAATCCAGTACACAGATAGAGACGGGCAACTCCAAATGGTCCGCATAGGAGGTGACCGGAATGACATCACCCTCTCTGGCCTGGAATCCGACCACAGATACCTGGTGACCCTGTATGGTTTCAGTGATGGGAAGCATGTAGGTCCTGTCCATGTCGAGGCCCTGACAGGTGAGAACTCTGCCCACTATGCCTCCTTTCAGATGGCTGGGAGAGTCCAGAGGACAGCAGAGTCCCGCGGATACCCTGCCCACCTCAGTCCTCTCTTTCCATGTCTCTGTCCAGTCCCGGAGGAGGAGAAGCCTTCAGAACCTCCCACCGCAACCCCCGAGCCCCCCATCAAGCCTCGCCTGGGGGAGCTGACCGTGACAGATGCCACCCCTGACTCCCTCAGCCTGTCCTGGACAGTTCCCGAGGGACAGTTTGACCACTTCCTGGTCCAGTACAGGAATGGAGATGGGCAGCCCAAGGCAGTGAGGGTGCCAGGGCACGAGGAAGGGGTCACCATCTCGGGCCTGGAGCCAGACCATAAATACAAGATGAACCTGTACGGCTTCCACGGTGGCCAGCGCATGGGCCCTGTGTCTGTCGTCGGGGTGACAGGTGAGTGGATGATGGGAGCCCCAGGGTGGGAGCCATGGGAGGGTCACCCTCTTGCTCTTTGGTGATGACTGGTGGGGAATGGGACAAGGGTCTGGTCAGCACCACAGACCTGCTTGTGGCTGGGGCTGGGGCTCCCCTTGGGCCTTCCTGTGAGGTTGACCACTGGCTCCTCCTGAACAGAGAGGGGCCATCGGGAATTTTGCTGTGCTGGTGGCTGTCCCAGGTCCCCCACAGCTGACCCTGGAACTTGTCATGTGTGTTAGCTGTCAGCTGAGCAGGACCACCCAGCCCCAAGAGTAGGCCTCTCTGAACTGACCTCGGGTCCCCCAGTCATAGCCTTGGCTTCTCCCTCCTTTTCCCCAGTACCCAAGGACATCCCCCTCACTCTCTCTTCCTCCTTCTCAGCTGCAGAGGAAGAGACCCCCAGCCCCACAGAACCCAGCATGGAGGCCCCGGAGCCCGCTGAGGAGCCGCTCCTGGGGGAGCTAACAGTGACAGGATCCTCCCCTGACTCGCTGAGCCTCTCCTGGACCGTCCCCCAGGGCCGCTTCGACTCCTTCACCGTGCAGTACAAGGACAGGGACGGGCGGCCCCAGGTGGTGCGTGTTGGGGGCGAGGAGAGTGAAGTCACCGTGGGGGGCCTGGAGCCTGGGCGCAAGTACAAGATGCACCTGTACGGCCTCCACGAGGGGCGGCGCGTGGGCCCAGTGTCTGCTGTGGGCGTCACGGGTGAGTGTGCACTGCAGAGCCCTCTGGGTTGGGTCTTAGCAAAGTACAGCCTCCAGCATCTCCTCCACTAGGGACCCAGAACCCCAAGACCTCAAACCTGTAATACACCCTGTTCACTAAAGGCTCAGGACAGGTGTGATCTGGGGACAGAGAGAGCAAATCCAGGAGAAGTGTCGGAGCCATATGGGAAAGGCCCCCAGGGACTGAGGCCTCTTGGGAGGTGATTCACTGGCTGGTTTGTGGCTCTCCGCTTTTCCTTGGAACTCTATACATAACTCTTTTTGTGAGATTGGAACACATTTTTGAAATACAAATTAATTAAATTAATAAGTATTTGTTAAATAAAATTTCAAATGTATAAACAGAAAGAATAGTACAAAGACCCTGCCATCCTCCTTCAATCAAATATCGACTTCTGGCCAGTCTGGCTCATCTCTGCCCCACCCACTTCCTCCACTAGAATCACTAGAATGTTTTCTTTCTTTCTTTCTTTCTTTCTTTCTTTCTTTCTTTCTTTCTTTCTTTCTTTCTTTCTTCCTTCCTTTCTTTCTTTCTCTTTCTTTCTTTCTTTCATTCTTTTCTTTTCTTTCTTTCTTTTTAGACAAGGTCTCACTCTGTCGCCTGGGCTAGAGTGTACTGGCACAGTCACAATTCACTGCACTGCAGCCTCAACCTCCTGGGCTTAAGGGATCCTCCCACTTCAGCCTCCCGAATAGCTGGGACTACAAGTGCACTCCACCATGCCCAGCTAATTTTTTGTATTTTTTGTAGAGACAGGGTTTAGCCATGTTGCCCAGGCCAGTCTCGAACTCCTGGGCTCAAGTTATCCTCCCACCTCAGCCAAAGTGATAGGATTCCAGGCGTGAGCCGCCACACCCGGCCTGAATGTTTTCTTTATTAACACCTTTATGGAGATATAATTCATGTGGCATAAAATACACTTGTTTTTAGTGTACAACTTACTGATTTTAGTATCTTTACCTACTTGTGCAGCCATCACCACGATCTAATTTTAGAACTTTTCCATCACCCCCAAAAGAAATCTTGGGTCCAGACCCATTCCTACCTCAGCCCTAGTTTATAACTAATCTACTTTTTTCTCTGTAGATTGCTGTTCCAGAACATTTCGTATAAATGGACTCAAACAATATGTATTCTTTTGTGTCTAGCTTCTTTCACTGAGCATAATGTTTTTGAGGTTCATCAATGTAGCATGTAGAAGTACTATACTTACTACATTGCTATTGATTGATTGATTGATTGATTGATTGATTTTTTTTGAGACAAATTCCCACTCTATTGCCCAGGCTATAGTGCAGTGGCATGATCATAGCTCACTGCAGCCCCAGACTCCTGGGCTCAAGCCATCCTCCCATCTCAGCCCCCCAGGTAGCTGGGGCCACAGGTGCTCGCCACCACACTCAGCTAATTTAAAAAAATTTTTTGTAGAGATGGGGTCTCACAGTGTTACCCAGGCTGATATCAAACTCCTGGCTTCAAGGAATCCTCCTGCCTGGGCCTTACAAAGTGCTGGGATAGCAGGCATGAGCCACCTGCTCTCTCTCAGCCACTACACTGCTTTTTATTGCCAAACAGTATTGCATTGTGTGGTTATACTACTGCAGTATTTTAAAAACGAACCACAGACATCCTATGCTTTCATCACTAAATATTTAAAGGTATATCTCTTTTTAAAAAAATTATTTTTAAAAAATCCACAATATGGCCAGGTGAGGTGGTTCACGCTTGTAATCCCAGCACTTTGGGAGGCCAAGGCAGGTGGATCACTTGAGGTAAAGAGTTCAAGACCAGCCTGACCAACATGGTGAAACCCCGTCTCTACTAAAAATAATAATAATAATAATAAATTTTAAAAAGTACAAAAAAGCGGAGCGTGGTGGCACGTGCCTGTAGTCCCAGCTACTTGGCGGGGGTTGAGGCACAAGAAATTGCTTGCACCCAGGAGGTGGAGGTTGCAGTGAGCCAAGATCGCGCCACTGCACTCCAGCCTGGGTGACAGAGTGAGACTCTGTGTCAAAAAATAAATAAATAAATAATAAAATTCCACAATACAATTAGCATACCTTGATAAGTGAACAATCATGCCTTGATATCAAGTATCCAGGTAGTGCTACAGTCTCCCGAGTGTCTCATAATTGTTGTTTCCCAATTTGTTGCTGAAATCAGGTCTATAGAAGGAGGATACATTGCAATTGAGAAAACTGAAATTTTAAATAGAGTAATCAGGGAAGGCCCACAGAAGAAGGTGGCTTTTGAACAAAGACTTAAAGGAAGTGTGGGGATGAGCCATGAAGATATCTGGGGAAAGAACATTTAGGTAGAGGGAACAGTCATTGTAAAAGTACTGAGGTAGGAGGCTGCCTGGCATGGTTGAGGGACCATAAGGAAGCCACAAAATCTGATTATGATTATAATCAGAAATTGATCTTAAGTTAGGGCCAGACTGGGCCCACCTTCTGACCTGAATTCAAGACAGCTGGGGCCTCAACACCTCCTTGCAGCAAGAGAAAAGATTCTGTTTCTATCTCTTCCTAGCCCCCGAAGAGGAGTCCCCTGATGCTCCTCTTGCAAAGCTGCGCCTAGGGCAGATGACAGTGAGAGACATCACCTCCGACTCCCTCAGCCTCTCCTGGACAGTCCCCGAGGGCCAGTTTGACCATTTCTTGGTCCAGTTTAAGAATGGGGATGGGCAGCCCAAGGCGGTGCGGGTGCCGGGACACGAGGATGGGGTCACCATCTCGGGCCTGGAGCCAGACCACAAGTACAAGATGAACCTGTACGGCTTCCACGGTGGCCAGCGCGTGGGCCCCGTGTCTGCTGTTGGTTTAACTGGTGAGTGTGCAGTAGGGCACTGGGCCCTGCCCTGAACTAGACTCAGTTTCCCTTTTATTGTCAGTATCTGGTGGCTTTATTTTACTTTCCCTGAGACCAAGCCTCCCAAGCTCCTGGGAATGGTTCTGCTGGTGCCTTCACTCCGAGACTTTGGTATTGCCCCAGGTCTTCTGCCCGTTACACATGGGCTTTTTGGGTTCCCAAAGAGGTGGGGGACCAGGAAAATAACACAGACTGAGGCACACCTGGGGTTGACCATAGCTTCAGCCCATTTGAGCTGTGTGTCCTCAAGAGACTCACACAACCTGTCTGGGCACGGTGGCTCATGCCTGTAATCCCAGCACTTTGGGAGGCCGAAGGGGGCAGATCACTTGAGGTCAGGAGTTCGAGACGAGCCTGGCCAACATCATGAAACCCCCATCTCTACTAAAAATACAAAAATTAGCTGGGTGTGGTGGCACATGCCTGTAGTCCCAGCTACTCGGGAGGCTAAGGCGGGAGAATCGCTTGAACCCAGGAGGCGGAGGTTGCAGTGAGCCGAGATCGAGCCACTGCACTCCAGCCTGTGTGACAGAGTGAGACCCTGTCTCAAAAAAACAAAACAAGCAAACAAAAAACAGACACACGACCTCTCTGTACATCCTTTTCCTCATCTGTAAAGAAGGAATAACCATACCTGTCGTGAAGGGTGGGCGGGAGTGTGGCTTGGCTCTCACACACAATGAGAGATAACTGCAGTCTTTCCCTTCTGAGGAAGGTAGGTAGTTCCTGAAAACCGCTTAGGGCAAATTCTCATAATTATCACTGATTTCAGTGGGAAAAATTGTATGTGTTCTCTAAGCTCCCAAATTAATACCCATTTATTTTTAAAACAACACTGAATCCTGTTAACATGGATACTATTACTTTAATTGTAAATATTGGCCATGTGCACAACTTAATAAGGCATTTTCCTTTCATTACCCTGTAACTCGGCTCTTTGATGCTTTTGTAAGCTCTTTTATAGCTGTTACCCCCTAGATGCTTAAGACTCAGTTCTCAAAAAGAACAGACAAATGAAATGTGATGAATTTGTAATACCACTATCAAGGCAGAATAAAACCCTATGAAGAGCAGAAAAGATTAAAGAAATCAATGAAAACAAAGCAATTGATTTCACACGGGCCAAAAGAACTGGCATCACTGGAGGTGCTCTCTCTGCCGTAAGTTAGCAGAGCTACTGCAGGTCCAGAGACAACTCAGCTGCAAAGATGCCCTCATGTGGTCTCATCTCTCTACCCTCAGCTATAAAATCTAAGTTGGTTTCTAAAAATGCTCAGGATTAGGTGGAATTTCCAAGCCCAGGTGGATGAACCTCCTGATACAACTTGCCTGTTGTGTTTGGTTGGTGTTCTTTGTTTTCTTTTTTTTTTTTTTCTTTATGTTGAGATGGAGTCTCACTCTGTCACCCAGGCTCTCAGGCTGGAGTGCCGTGGTGCGATCTCAGCTCATTGCAACCTCTGCCTCCCAGGTCCAAGCAGTTCTCCTGCCTCAGCCTTCCGAGTAGCTGGGATTACAGGCATGCACCAGCACATCTGGCTAATTTTTGTATTTTTAGTACAGACAGGATTTCGCCATGTTGGCCAGGCTGGTCTCAAGCTCCTGACCTCAGGTGATCCTCCCGCCTCGGCCTCCCAAAGTGCTGGGATTACAGGCCTGAGCCACCACGCCTGGCCCTGATTGCTGTTTTTTGTTTGTTTGTTTGTTTTTGTTTGTTTGTTTTTTTCTTGAGAAGGAGTCTCGCTGTCTCCCAGGATGGAGTGCAGTGGCGTGATCTTGGCTCACCGCAAGCTCCGCCTCCTGGGTTCATGCCATTCTCCTGCCTCAGCCTCCTGAGTAGCTGGGACTACAGGTGCCCGCCAACACGCCTGGCTAATTTTTTGTATTTTTAGTAAAGACGGGGTTTCACAGTGTTAGCCAGGATGGTCTCAATCTCCTGACCTCATGATCCGCCCGCCTCGGCCTCCCAAAGTGCTGAGATTACAGGCCTGAGCCACCACACCCGGCCCTGGTTGGTGTTCTTATAAAGCATCAATTCTGTCCTGCAAAACAAATTTGCTTGGCAGCTCCTAAGGGTCCCAGGCCTGCACACTGAGCATCACAGGGATGCCACCTGAGCATCATGACTTCACCACAGGTGTGGTGTTAACTGAACATTCAAAGCAGAAAAATGATATTCTAAGCTTGGGGCACCAGCATCCAGACTGTGGGCCCTTGGTGTGTCTAAGAGAATCCCAGAGTCCCTTGGTTAAAAGGAGGCCCACCAGGCATGCCTACCCATTCTATTTTCTGATGCAGCCCCAGGAAAGGATGAAGAAATGGCCCCAGCCTCGACAGAACCTCCCACCCCTGAACCCCCCATCAAGCCTCGCCTGGAGGAGCTGACCGTGACAGATGCGACCCCTGACTCCCTCAGCCTGTCCTGGACGGTTCCCGAGGGACAGTTTGACCACTTCCTGGTCCAGTACAAGAATGGGGATGGGCAGCCCAAGGCAACACGGGTGCCAGGACATGAGGACAGGGTCACCATCTCCGGCCTGGAGCCAGACAACAAGTACAAGATGAACCTGTACGGCTTCCACGGTGGCCAGCGTGTGGGCCCCGTGTCTGCCATCGGGGTGACAGGTGAGTGGACGATGGGAGCCCCAGGGTGGGAGCCATGGGAGGGTCACCCTCTTGCTCTTTGGTGATGACTGGTGGGGAATGGGACGGGTCTGGTCAGCACCACAGACCTACTTGTGGCTGGGGCTGGGGCTCCCATTGTACCTTTTTGTGTGGTTGACCCCTGGCTCCCCCTGAGCAGGGAGGGGCCATTGGGAGTTTTGCTGTGCTGGTGGCTGTGCCAGGTCCCCCACAGCTGACCCTGGAATTTGTCATGTGTGTTAGCTGTCAGCTGAGCAGGACCCCAAGAATGGGCCTCTCTGAACTGACCTCAGGTCCCCTAGTCATAGCCTTGGCTATTTCATATGTCCCCTAGTCATAGCCTTCTCCCTCCTTTTCCCCACGACGTAAGCACATCCCCCAGGGACCCTGCCATCCTCTCTGTGTCCCTTTTTCTCAGCTGCAGAGGAAGAGACCCCCAGCCCCACAGAACCCAGCATGGAGGCCCCGGAGCCCCCTGAGGAGCCGCTCCTGGGGGAGCTGACAGTGACAGGATCCTCCCCTGACTCGCTGAGCCTCTCCTGGACCGTCCCCCAGGGCCGCTTCGACTCCTTCACCGTGCAGTACAAGGACAGGGACGGGCGGCCCCAGGTGGTGCGTGTTGGGGGCGAGGAGAGCGAGGTCACCGTGGGGGGCCTGGAGCCTGGGCGCAAATACAAGATGCACCTGTACGGCCTCCACGAGGGGCGGCGCGTGGGCCCGGTGTCCACCGTGGGCGTGACTGGTGAGTAGTGCTTGGAGTCTCGGGGTAACCACCTTTCCCTCATGGGTACCTGGTTTACTGCTGTGCCCTTTCACCAAGCCCTGTGGGTCCAGACTTGTCTCCTGTGTCCTGCCCTCCCTCTGTGCCCTGTGGCTGTGGCCTATGCTAGCGGTTTGCTTGTTCACTTTGGCGTGGCCTCCCTCTAATGGTCAACCACTGATAACCTCCAAGAGTGAAATATGTCAGGCGCACACCAAGCCTGACTTACGAGAATTTTCCTTTCTTTCCATCTTAATAACAGCATTCTTTGTTATAACCACATACACAAATGCACACAAGAGGAACAATCCAACGTCAAACCACGTTGGGATGACTAAATAATTTAGGCAACATCTATAAAAAGAGCTATTATGCCGCCACTGAAATGTTTTAACATAAGACCCTTACTTTATAATGTTACATTGAAAAAAGAGAGCCTAGGCTGGGCACAGTGGCTTACGCCTGTAATCCCAGCACTTTGGGAGGCCGAGGCGGGCTGATCGCCTGAGGTCAGGAGTTCCAGACCAGTCTAGCCAACATGGTGAAACCCCATCTCTACTAAAAATACAAAAATTAGCCAAGCATGGTGGCACATGCCTGTAATCCCAGTTACTTGGGAGGTGGAGGCACGAGAATTGCTTGAACCCGGGAGGCAGAGGTTGCAGTGAGCCGAGATCACCACTGCACTCCAGCCTGGCAGATACAGCCAAACTCAGTCTCAAAAAAGAAGAAAAAGGAGCCCAAATTTTTGTAAGGATGCTAATCACAACCATTTGAAAGTAACAGGCATGGCAAGAAGACTGGAAAGAAACACATCCCACGGGTTGCCTGATTTGTTAGATAGAATAGAATATTCCAGCACATTTTTTTCTGTATTATTCTATTCTGCATAGTCCAAATTTTCTTAAATGGCAAACATTTCTTTTACAATCAGGGAAAGGGAAAAGAGAAAATATATAATGTCTTCTCCTTCTTTACACTCCATCTGTCCTACTCCTCTATCGCTCTTGTGGCTTATTTCATTTATTTCCTTCTTTTTTTTTTTTGAGATGAAGTTTCGCTCTTGTCGCCCAGGCTGGAGTGCAATGGCATGATCTCGGCTCACTACAACCTCTGCCTCCTGGATTCAAGCGATTCTCCTGCCTCAGCCTCCCGAGTAGCTGGGATTACAGGCATGCGCCACCACATCTGGCTAATTTTGTATTTTTAGTAGAGAGGGAGTTTCTCCATGTTGGTCAGGCTGCTCAAACTCCTGACCTCAGGTGATCTGCCCGCCTCGGCCTCCCAAAGTGCTGGGATTACAGGCATGAGCCACCGCGCCCAGCCAGACTTATTTCATTTCTAATTATGAGGAAGTTCAAAATTTCTAGTCCATAAGAAATTGGAGGGGTGGAGATCATGAGGTTAATTGAATTCCAAATGCTCAGTCAGGCTGCCTTTTCTAAGTCATCCTCAGCCAGGTTGTTATGCCTGGCTTAGAGTATTTTTCGAGAATTCCTACCGATGGGGAAGAATCAGCCCTGCTGAGAGGCGGTCTCTTGCAGGGCAGGTCGCCACCTCTGTGGCACCAAGTGAGGTGCGAGCTCATCTCCCAAAGGCCATCCAGACAGAGGAAGCACTCTCAATCGGCATCCCCGATTCCTGGGGGAGAGGCCTCATTTCCATATGCATGTTCAGAGGACCATCTGAGTGTTGGGAAACAGGGGGAATAGGGAAATTATTGGAAAATGAACATTAGAAAAATTCACATTCCGGGGGTAAGCTGTCCTGGTCCACGTTCAGTTTTGTGTTCCTGTCTCCACTGTGGGGAACCACAGAACTGACAGAGGACAGGCTGAGGGACCCACCCCTGCCCCTCCTGTTCTATGTGTATTGCTGCCCCACCCCCACCCCACACTCTATTATTAATTGTTGTAGCCCAGAATTTCTTTCTTTCTTTTTCTTTTTTTTTTTTTTTTTTGAGACTGAGTCTCACTCTGTTGCCCAGGCTGGAGTGCAGTGGTGTGATCTCAGCTCACTGCAACCTCTGCCTCCCAGGTTCAAGTGATTGTCCTGCCTCAGCCTCCTGAGTAGCTGGGATTACAGGTGCATGCCACCACGCCTGGCTAATTTTTGTATTTTCAGTAGAGACCGGGTTTCATGATATTGGCCAAGCTAGACTCGAATTCCCAACCTCAGGTGATCCACCCGCCTCGGCCTCCCAAAATGCTAGGATTACAGGCGTGAACCACTGCTCCCAGCCCAGAATTTCTTTTTTAGCCCACGTTTTTCTAGTGAAAATAATACAGCAACATTATGTGGAAAGCTTGAAAAACAGAAAACAAGAATCTCATAGTCCTACTTTCTCCCCCAGCTGCCGGCATTAATAACAATGTGTGTAGTGCACATTCCCTTCCTGTATTTTGCATGCAGAGCGTGTTTTAAAGTTGCAATCAGTGTTCATAAAGTTCTTGGCACTTCCTTTTTTGTACACAAGTACATTGTAATCATTCACCTCACGGCTACACAACCAGCATTCATCATCGTTTCAATGGTTATTTGATGCGTTGCGGTGAAAGCACTATAACAAAATTAATCATCTTCTACGGGTCATTTGTGTTCCTGACACATCTGCTGTCATGAATAACCCCATCGTGAGTTCTTCCATGCTATAACTTTTTCCTGCTTTAATAATTTTCTTAGGACAGATGCCCAGAACTGGGATTATTGGGTCAAAGGAAATGAGAATTACTTTGGCTCCTGACACTATGTCTCAGTTGCCTTCTGGAGGTTTCTAACAGTGCAGCTCTGCCAGCAGTACAGGCCGGGGGCTCGGGGATACCTCACCGGCTCTTATTCCAAGAGTCACTGAACGGCGAACACAAAGCTGCCCCAGCCCTCAGCCTGCTCTGGAGGGGCGCATTTGATGTATGACCTCTGTTGACAGCACCAGCAAAGCAAGTTGCCCTTAAACCCTTAAACTCTGTATCCCCCTATATTACCTTTCAGCCCCACAAGAGGATGTGGACGAGACCCCCAGCCCTACAGAACCAGGCACAGAGGCCCCAGAGCCCCCCGAGGAGCCTCTCCTGGGGGAGCTGACAGTGACAGGATCCTCCCCTGACTCGCTGAGCCTTTCCTGGACCGTCCCCCAGGGCCGCTTTGACTCCTTCACCGTGCAGTACAAGGACAGGGACGGGCGGCCCCAGGCGGTGCGTGTTGGGGGCCAGGAGAGCAAGGTCACTGTGAGGGGCCTGGAGCCTGGGCGCAAGTACAAGATGCACCTGTACGGCCTCCACGAGGGGCGGCGCCTGGGCCCGGTGTCTGCCGTGGGCGTCACAGGTGAGTGAGTGTGGGTGGGGCAGGGTTGGAAGACAGCCCTAGAAAATGTGCCCTTCTCTACCATTTTCCTATACATATTTCTGTCTTGATGGGGCTCACAGTGAAAGGAATATAGCAACATTATGGAAAGACATGTCATGGAGAGACAGGCTGCAATCCAGCAAATGAAGCAAAGGCGGGTGAGCATGTGATAGGGAGGCCCAGGGCTCAGGTCAGGACCAGACAGGGACGCCTAAGTCACCCTGCCCATGGGTACCCAGGGGACAGCCAGGACCTGAGGCCAGGCATGCCTTAGCTTGGTGACAGCTTTAGAGAGAAGGTGAAGTGTGTCAGATAATCACAGCTGGTGCAAAGGCCAGGAGGCTAGAAAGAGCATGGCACGTGAGAGGCACTGAGGATTGAGTGGGGTGTCCTTTACGGTGAGTATCTCATCCTGAAGTGTGGGAGCAGAGGAGGGGACCACTCACCAGGCCTGGGGTCTCCCAGGGATGAGGATGTGGTTGCCCAGGTCTGTGCTGAGATGGCCCCAGCAGCTGTGCCTGTGTGAAGCTCATCCGTGGGGGCTGAAGATGGGGATGGGGTGGCAGGGAGCCTGGAGGCAGCGAGGCCAGTAGGCAGTTGGTGGCCCTGGTGAGAGGTGACAGTGGCTCAAACTAGGATCGGGGACTGGAGGTGGGGTAGGAAGGTATCCAGGGGAATTCAGGGTAAAGATGCTCTGAGGCTGCTGGCAGCTGGTGAGGAGCTGGATCCAGGAACACACCCCAGGCTCTGGCCTCGGGAGGAGTGTGCTGAGCTTGTTGCGGAGCAAAGACAGAAGCCCAGTGAACAAAAGATGGCGAAGAGACCCCAGTGCTGGGAGGCCAGGGGTGCAGAGGCCGAGTGGGGCTGTGCTCAAAAGAGAGGCGGTGCTGGAGGGACAGGGAGAGGTGGCCTGGGTGTTGGGAGGTGGGGGTGAGGTGGGGGCTGAGGGCAGGAGGGTCAGGGTGAGGGATAGGAAAGGCCGCAGGAGAGGAGAGGATGAAGAGCTGTGCTGGAGGGGCTGTGGGCAGCATCGTCCTGCTCTTGGGCACTTTGTGTTTTGTGACACATCCTTTCTATGCTGAACTGAGGAGCCAGGGACCTCACTGTCCCCACACGTGTCTGTCCAACTCCAGAGGATGAAGCCGAGACCACCCAAGCAGTGCCTACCATGACCCCTGAGCCCCCCATCAAGCCTCGCCTGGGGGAGCTGACCATGACAGATGCCACCCCTGACTCCCTCAGCCTGTCCTGGACGGTTCCCGAGGGCCAGTTTGACCACTTCCTGGTCCAGTACAGGAATGGGGATGGGCAGCCCAAGGCGGTGCGGGTGCCGGGGCACGAGGACGGGGTCACCATCTCAGGCCTGGAGCCAGACCATAAATACAAGATGAACCTGTACGGCTTCCACGGTGGCCAGCGCGTGGGCCCCATCTCTGTCATTGGGGTGACGGGTGAGTGGATGATGGCAGCCCCAGGGTGGGAGCCGTGGGAGGGTCACCCTCTTGCTCTTTGGTGATGACTGGTGGGGAATGGGCCAGGGGTCCGGTCAGCACCACAGACCTGCTTGTGGCTGGGGCTCCCCTTGGGCCTTCCTCTGAGGCTGACCCCTGGCTCCTCCTGAGCAGGGAGGGGCCATCAGGAGTTCTGCTGTGCTGGTGACTGTCCCAGGTCCCCCACAGCTGACCCTGGAACTTGTCATGTGTGTTAGCTGTCAGTTGAGCAGGACCACCCAGCCCCAAGAATGGGCTTTTCTGAAATGACCTCACATACCCAGTAGTGGCCATGGTTTCTCCCTCCTTCCCTTGAAGACCTGAGCACATCCCCCAGGCACCTGGCATCCTCTCTATATCTCCTTTTCTCAGCTGCAGAGGAAGAGACCCCCAGCCCCACGGAACTCAGCACTGAGGCCCCGGAGCCCCCTGAGGAGCCGCTCCTGGGGGAGCTGACAGTGACAGGATCCTCCCCTGACTCGCTGAGCCTCTCCTGGACCATCCCCCAGGGCCACTTCGACTCCTTCACCGTGCAGTACAAGGACAGGGACGGGCGGCCCCAGGTGATGCGTGTCAGGGGCGAGGAGAGCGAGGTCACCGTGGGGGGCCTGGAGCCCGGGCGCAAATACAAGATGCACCTGTACGGCCTCCACGAGGGGCGGCGTGTGGGCCCGGTGTCCACCGTGGGTGTGACAGGTGAGTGTTTGTGAGTGAGGAAGATGGCCCTAGAAGATGTTGCTTTCTCTGCAACTTCATGAAAACAAAAATATTCTCACCAGCCGGGCTTCTTTTGCACGTTTCCATGCTTGGGGATCTTGCTAAGAGGCAGATTGGGGTTCAACAGGTTTGGGCTAGGGCCAGAGATTCTGCATTTCCAACAAGAAATGATGCGGATGCTGCTGGCCCATGATCACGCCCCTTGAGTAGCAAAGTTCTTCACGACAAAGGAATTGGACCCTCTTTTGAAATCTGTTGAAGAGAATTTTTCTGCGTCCCTGATTCCTGGTAGTGTGCTTTCTCTGTGGAGTTGACTAGGGGCCGTGAAGGAAGACAGAAGGCAGTGAGGGGCAGCGCGTCGACTGCACACTCTGGAAGCCCACTATTGGAATAGGAATAGGAACAGACCTTTCTCACCAATGGGCCAATTTGTTCATTCAGCAAAGAATTCCTTGCCCTGATCCGGACACTGTAATTTTAGGGTATCAATGTCCTCTGGCCAACGACCTCCAGAAACTCACCTAAAATTGAATGGATGGAATTATGCTCCATGCAGTGCAGGAGGACTGTGGGGTGACTTAGGAAGAGGCTTTAGAAAGAGATTGTTAAGGAACTGGGCTTGTGTTTGGTGTTTTAGGAAAGCATTTAAGGAAGCAAGGTTTTGCTCTTTATTAGACGCTGTCAGGAAGAAGGGATAACCCTATTACCAGGCGTCTCACTAAGTCTTATCTTTGGGGAGGTCAACTAGAGCAAGGCCAAAGCTGCCATTGGTAAAGAAGCAGCTATCACTCAGATTAGCTGGATGGGTGATGTTTGGTTATTTTTGTGCTTTGGAAAATGTTAGAGTTCATCCTTACTGAGACATGATCACAGACTGGCCTTGTTCTTGTCTTGATCCATCCTACTGACAAATGGCCTAGTCTGATGTTGATGTTCCATGAAATTGTCTGTTCAACTGGACCACGCCAAGACCAGACTGTGCCAGGCCAGCCCCAAGCAGCCGTGGCCTGGCAGAGGGAAAGGGCAGCTCACGGGTGTCAGGGCTGCCTTTTTCTTTCATAGGCGGAAGCTGGAAAGTGACACACACAAGTTCATGTTTTCATGGGGCTCACAATTGTGGGCACAAGCAGAAAACCGGAAAGTAAGCAAAGAAGGATGAGCATGTGGAGCCCAGGAGCCAAGCCAGGATTGGGAAGGGACAGTGAAGTCACTCTGCCCACAAGTACCCAGGGGACAGCCAGGACCTGAGGCCAGGCAGGCCTTAGCTTGATGACAGCTTTGGAGAGGAAGTGAAGCATGTCAAATCATCACAGCTAGTGCAAAGGCCAGGAGGCTAGAAAGAGCATGGTGTGTGAGAGACACTGAGGATTGAGTGGGGTGTCCTTTGCAGTTGGTGGATCATCCTGAAGTGTGGGAGCAGAGGAGGGGACCACTCACCAGGCCTGGGGTCTCCCAGGGATGAGGATGTGGTTGCCCAGGTCTGTGCTGAGATGGCCCCAGCAGCTGTGCCTGTGTGAAGTTCATCCGTGGGAGCTAAAGATGGGGATGGGGTGGCAGGGAGCCTGGAGGCAGGGAGGCCAGTAGGCAGTTGGTGGCCCTGGTGAGAGGTGACAGTGGCTCAAACTAGGATTGGGGACTGGAGGTGGGGGAGGAAGGTATCCAGGGAAACTCGGGGGAGAGGTACTCTGAGGCTGCTGGCAGCTGGTGAGGGGCTGGGTCCAGGAACACACCCCAAGCTCTGGCCTCGGGAGGAGTGTGCTGAGCTTGTAGCGGAGCAAAGACAGAAGCCCAGTGAACAAAAGATGGCGAGGAGACACCAGTGCAGGGAGGCTAAGGGTGCAGAGGCCGAGTGGGGCTGTGCTCAAAAGAGAGGCGGTGCTGGAGGGACAGGGAGAGGTGGCCTGGGTGTTGGGAGGTGGGGGTGAGGTGGGGGCTGAGGGCAGGGGGGTCAGGGTGAGGGATAGGAAAGGCCGCAGGAGAGGAGAGGATGAAGAGCTGTGCTGGAGGCGCTGTGGGCAGCATCGTCCTGCTCTTGGGCACTTTGTGTTTTGTGACACATCCTTTCTATGCTGAACTGAGAACCCAGGGACCTCACTCTCCCCACACGTGTCTGTCCAGCTCCAGAGGATGAAGCAGAGACCACCCAAGCAGTGCCCACCACAACCCCTGAGCCCCCCAACAAGCCTCGCCTCGGGGAGCTGACCGTGACAGATGCCACCCCTGACTCCCTCAGCCTGTCCTGGATGGTCCCCGAGGGCCAGTTTGACCACTTCCTGGTCCAGTACAGGAATGGGGATGGGCAGCCCAAGGTGGTGCGGGTGCCGGGGCACGAGGACGGGGTCACCATCTCAGGCCTGGAGCCAGACCACAAGTACAAGATGAACCTGTACGGCTTCCACGGTGGCCAGCGCGTGGGCCCCATCTCTGTCATTGGGGTGACAGGTGAGTGTACGATGGGAGCCCCAGAGTGGGGCCTGTGGGAGGGTCTCCCTTTCTCTGGTGATGGGTGAACTGGCCCAGGAAGCCCCTCTGCTCTTGGCTGAGCCATGGTACTTTTTTGTCTTTCCCCACTTCCCTGAGGACTGACAGATCTTCCTGGGTGGAGAAGGGCCCTGTGAGCTCTGTTGGTGGCTGTCCCAAGTTCCGCAGCACTGACCTCAGAGCTTGTCATGTGTGTTGACTGTAAACTGAGCAAGACCACCCAGCTCCAAAGATGGGCCTCTCCAAGCTGACCCCAGGACCCCCACTCATGGCCACAGCTTCGCTCTCCTTCCTCACAAGACCCAAGGACATCCCCCAGGGAAGCTGCCTCACCTTCTCTGTCCCCTCTTCTCAGCTGCAGAGGAAGAAACTCCCGCCCCCACAGAACCCAGCACGGAGGCCCCGGAGCCCCCTGAGGAGCCGCTCCTGGGGGAGCTGACAGTGACAGGATCCTCCCCTGACTCGCTGAGCCTCTCCTGGACCATCCCCCAGGGCCGCTTCGACTCCTTCACTGTGCAGTACAAGGACAGGGACGGGCGGCCCCAGGTGGTGCGTGTCAGGGGCGAGGAGAGCGAGGTCACCGTGGGGGGCCTGGAGCCCGGGTGCAAATACAAGATGCACCTGTACGGCCTCCACGAGGGGCAGCGCGTGGGCCCAGTGTCCGCTGTGGGTGTGACAGGTGAGTAAGTGTGAGTGAGGCGAGGTGGGGAAGATGGCCCTGGAAGACACTGCTGTCTCTCCAGTCTTCGTGAAAACATACTCTGAAGAGTATTCCTTCCTTTGTGTATCCAAATGCCTGGAGATTTTTGTTAAAAAGCAGATTTGGATTCAGCAGGCTTGGCCTAGGGCAAGAGACCATGCATTTCTTTCTTTTTCTTTCTTTCTTTTTTTTTTTTTTGAGATAGAGTCTCGCTTTGTCACCCAGGCTGGAGTACAGTGGCTCAATCTCGGCTCACTGGAACCTCCGCCTCCTGGGTTCAAGTGATTCTCCTACCTCAGCCTCCTGAGTAACTGGGACTACAGGCGTGCGCCACCACGCCCAGCTAATTTTTTCATATTTTTAGTAGAGATGGGTTTCACCGTGTTAGCCAGGATGGTCTCAATCTCCTGACCTCGTGATCTGCCCTCCTCGGCCTCCCAAAGTGCTGGGATCATAGGCGTGAGCCACGGCGCCCAGCCGACCATCCATTTCTAACAAGATTCTCATCTATCTTGATGCCACTGGTCCAAGGAACACACTTTTTTTGTTGTTTTTTATTGTAGTAAAGTACACTTGACATAATTCGCCATTCTAATCGCTTTCTAGTTTGCAGTCCAGCATGAAGTCCACTCACATTGCTGTGGACTGTCACCCTCCACTTCCAGAACTCCTCTTCCCAGACTGAAACTTCCTACCCACTAGACACGAACTCCCATTCTCCCCTTGCCCCAGCCCCTGGCAACACCATTCTACTCTCTGTCTCTATGAATTTGACTCTAGGTACCTCATATAAGTGCAATCATACAATATTTGTCTTTTTTGAATGGTTCATTTCATTAAATACAATGTCTTTAAGGTTCATCTATGTCGTAGCATCAGTCAGAATTTCCTTTTTATTTTATTTTCTGTGGCAATGGGGGTCTCGGTATGTTGCCCAGGCTGGTCTCAAACTCCTGGCCTCAAGCGAGTCTCCCACCTTGACCTCCCAAAGTGCTGGGATTATAGGCAAGAGCCACTGCACCTGGCCAGAACTTCCTTCCTTTTCAGGCTGAATAATGTTTCGTTTTACACATACAGACCACACTTTGCTCATCCTTTCATCCATTGATGGACATCTGGGTTGCTTCCACCTCTTAGCTATCAAGAATAATGCTGCTATGAATATTTGTGTGCAAATCACAGAACACCTTTGTAGCAAAGCTCCTCCCAGTAACAGATTTGGAAACTCTCTTAGAATTTGTTGAAGCGAATTTTTCTTGCATTCATGAATCCTCACAGAGGTTAGGCTCAGAGTTAGGGTTCCTGTCCTAATGGGAAAAGTTCCTGTCCTAATGGGGCTAACGTCATGGGGGACAGGCTGTGGACCAGTAAGAAAGCAAAGGCGGGTGAGCATGTGACAAGAAGCCCAGAGCCAGGCAGGAATACCTAAACCACCCTACCTGTGGATACTCAGGGGACAGTCAGGATCTGAGGCCAGGCAGGCCTTAGCTTGGTGACAGCTTTAGAGAGAAGGTGAAGCGTGTCAGATCAGCACAGGTGGTGCAAAGGCCAGGAGGCTAGAAAGAGCATGGTGTGTGAGAAGTACTGAGGATTGAGTGGGGTGTCCTTTGCAGTGAATAGATAGTCCTGAAGTGTGGGAGCAGAGGAGGCCTGGGGTCTCCCAGGGATGAGGATGTGATTGCCCAGGTCTGTGCTGAGATGGCCCCAGCAGCTGTGCCTGTGTGAAGCTCATCTGTGGGGGCTAAAGATGGGGATGGGGTGGCAGGGAGCCTAGAGGCAGGGAAGCCAATAGGCAGTTGGTGGCCCTGGTGAGAGGTGACAGTGGCTCAAACTAGGATCGGGGACTGGAGGTTGGGGAGGAAGGTATCCAGGGAAACTCGGGGGAGAGGTAACTCTGAGGCTGCTGGCAGCTGGTGAGGGGCTGGGTCCAGGAACACACCCCAGGCTCTGGCCTCGGGAGGAGTGTGCTGAGCTTGTTGCAGAGCAAAGACAGAAGCCCAGTGAACAAAAGATGGCGAGGAGACCCCAGTGCAGGGAGGGTAAGGGTGCAGAGGCCAAGTGGAGCTGTGCTCAAAAGAGAGGCGGTGCTGGAGGGACAGGGAGAGGTGGCCTGGGTGTTGGGAGGTGGGGGTGAGGTGGGGGCCGAGGGCAGGGGGGTCAGGGTGAGGGATAGGAAAGGCCGCAGGGGAGGAGAGGATGAAGAGCTGTGCTGGAGGCGCTGTGGGCAGCATCGTCCTGTTCTTGGGCACTTTGTGTTTTGTGACACATCCTTTCTATGCTGAACTGAGAACCCAGGGTCCTCACTGTCCCCACACGTGTCTGTCCAGCTCCAAAGGATGAAGCCGAGACCACCCAAGCAGTGCCTACCATGACCCCTGAGCCCCCCATCAAGCCTCGCCTGGGGGAGCTGACCGTGACAGATGCCACCCCCGACTCCCTCAGCCTGTCCTGGATGGTTCCCGAGGGCCAGTTTGACCACTTCCTGGTCCAGTACAGGAATGGGGATGGGCAGCCCAAGGCGGTGCGGGTGCCGGGGCACGAGGACGGGGTCACCATCTCAGGCCTGGAGCCAGACCATAAATACAAGATGAACCTGTACGGCTTCCACGGTGGCCAGCGCGTAGGCCCTGTGTCTGCCATTGGGGTGACGGGTGAGTGAATGATGGGAGCCCCAGGGTGGGAGCTGTGGGAGGGCCACCTCTTGCTCTTTGGTGATGACTGGTGGGGAATGGGACAGGGGTCTGGTCAGCACCACAGAACTGCTTGTGGCTGGGGCTGGGACTCCCCTTGGGCCTTCCTATGTGGTTGACCCCTGGCTCCCCCTGAGCAGGGAGGGGCCATCAGGAGTTTTGCTGTGCTGGTGGCTGTGCCAGGTCCCCCACAGCTGACCCTGGAACTTGTTACGTGTGTTAGCTGTCAGCTGAGCAGGACCACCCAGCCCCAAGAATGGACTTCTCTGAAATGACCTCAGGTCCCCCAGTCATAGCCTTGGCTTCTCCCTCCTTTTCCCCAGGACCCAAGGACATCCCCCTCACTCTCTCTCCCTCCTTCTCCACTGCAGAGGAAGAGACCCCCAGCCCCACAGAACCCAGCACTGAGGCCCCGGAGGCCCCTGAGGAGCCGCTCCTGGGGGAGTTGACAGTGACAGGATCCTCCCCTGACTCGCTGAGCCTCTCCTGGACCGTCCCCCAGGGCCGCTTCGACTCCTTCACCGTGCAGTACAAGGACAGGGACGGGCAGCCCCAGGTGGTGCGTGTCAGGGGCGAGGAGAGCGAGGTCACCGTGGGGGGCCTGGAGCCCGGGCGCAAATACAAGATGCATCTGTACGGCCTCCACGAGGGGCAGCGCGTGGGCCCAGTGTCCACCGTGGGCATCACGGGTGAGTGGGGGGACAGGCCCTCGTCCCCAGGTTTACCTCTGCAGCCCCCTTGTGTTTCTCCTTTGGATCTTGGCACCTCTTTTGACTGGGCCTCTAGGTTTCTGTCTTTTCTCCCATGTTGCTAATGATCCTGCCTCATCCTTGGATTCATGGAGACTGTGTGGAGTCAGATGGGCAGGTAGTCCATGCCCTGTTTGTTGTAGCTTCCTTCTCCCATTGTGATCTGGAACCTCCATGTTGCTCGTGTGCTCATTTGTTAGTCTTCAGGCTCCCTTAAGGAGTATTTTAGTGGCTCAGAAAGTGCTTCAGATCCAGCTGCCCAGATCTGCATGTGCCTTCGAATGTAGTGATTGTGCGACTTTGCAGGCGTTTCCTAACCTTGTGCTTCAGATTCCTGCAAAGTTGGGGTGATGATAATAATGGCACCCACTTCATATGTTGTGCGAGGGTTAAATGCACCACTGTTTGTGAGCTGCTTACAGCAATGCAGGGCACAGATTCTAAAACAAGCGTTTTAGAGGAGGCCGCTAAGAAATGCTCACTCCAGTCCTGGGAGAGCACTGCCTCCCTTGCGCAGGGTCCTGCCTCCTGACCCATGGGCCTGCTCTGCTCTTTTCAGCGCCCCTGCCCACACCACTGCCGGTGGAGCCCCGCCTGGGGGAGCTGGCGGTGGCGGCCGTGACCTCGGACTCAGTGGGCCTCTCATGGACGGTGGCCCAGGGCCCCTTTGACTCCTTCCTGGTACAGTACAGGGACGCGCAGGGGCAGCCCCAGGCAGTGCCTGTGAGCGGAGACCTCCGAGCGGTCGCCGTCTCGGGGCTGGACCCGGCCCGCAAGTACAAGTTCCTGCTCTTTGGACTCCAGAATGGGAAACGCCACGGCCCAGTCCCTGTGGAGGCCAGGACCGGTGAGTGAGGGCTGGAGGCCTCCCGCGGCCAGAGCCTTCGCCCCCTTGTGGCACCTGTTGGAATTTCACGTTCTGTGCCCCACACTCCAGTCCTCAGCACCCACTGATTTATTGGGTCCAGGAAAACCCAGGCCCTGAGCTCTCCTCTCCCACTCACACTCATCCCTCTCCCTACTTTCCCTGCACCCCAGGGGACACTTGCTTTCTTGTCTGGCTCCTCTTTTATTCCTACTCCTGGCCCAGTCACCCTCCCGTTCCTGGGACCGGCTCACAGAGCCATAGCAGCCCAGGAAGCTCCGTGGCCCCTTTGCCTCCATCCCACTCTCCATGCACCTCACTGTCTTTTCCAGCCCCAGACACCAAACCGTCTCCCCGCCTGGGGGAGCTGACTGTGACAGATGCGACCCCTGACTCCGTGGGCCTCTCGTGGACGGTCCCTGAGGGCGAATTCGACTCCTTCGTGGTCCAGTACAAGGATAAGGATGGTCGGCTCCAGGTGGTGCCGGTGGCAGCCAACCAGCGGGAGGTCACAGTCCAGGGCCTGGAGCCCAGTAGGAAATACAGGTTCCTGCTCTATGGTCTGTCAGGCAGGAAACGACTGGGCCCCATCTCTGCTGACAGCACCACAGGTGAGTCCCAGTCCAGCCTCCACCTTTTCCAGAGCTGCCTCTCATCCGAGCCCTCAGAGCTGGCCCTGCAGCCTTCCCGTGAGATTCCCTCTATCAGCCCTGACACAACCATCTTAACTCCGAAAGTGAGTCCCTCTGTGTGTCAGGCACAGTTCTGAAGCATATGCATTACTTCCTTTCATTCGCTGACTGCTGAGGAAATAAAAGGGACACGGGCTTTGGGGCCAGCAGATCTGTGTTCCAGTTCCAGTCCTAGCCTTTGCCAGGGTGACCATGGACAAGCCGCTTCATCCCCGGGACCTCAGTGTCCTCACCTGCATAATGCTGGGAATGGCGCTGGACTCAGTAGTGGTTCCCATCCTCCTCCCTCCTCCCTGACTCGGAGCCGAGGGGTGGAAGAAAAGGGAGGGCTTGGCTATGGAAAGACGATGGAAAAACCTGGTGTCACTATGCCTATGACTCAGCTCCCTGAGGAAGGGGTGTGGTGGGTCACCGACCCTCACCCCACTCCCAGGACCATGAGTCACTATGCCCAGAGGAGGACAGAGCAGCCGGCCAGTCTGGGCCTGGGTCCCTGGGACTCCGTAATTCTCTTCCCAAACCCTCACTGTGGGGACGGGGTACAGATCCCCACCCATCGGCCCCAGCCCCACCCGGGCAAGCCTCTGCTCTGCCCTCTGTTCTCCCAGCTAATCCCCTGTCTTCTCCCTGCCCCACCCTGGCTGCCCCGGCCCAGTGGGGTCAGTGTGGGGCTGGGGAAGCAGGAGGCACGGATGTTCAGGCTGATGGCCACAAGGGGACAAGGGGGAGATCACAGCCTGGCAGTGATGGGAGCCGTGCATTGGCCGGCTGCCCAGACCAGCTCTCGATGTTTGGGGTGTCTCCGTGACAACCCAGAGACCTCCGGGGAGTCTCTCTCAGCTCTGGCCTCATTCCTGCTCAGGGGCTGGGGGTCAGGGTAAACAAAGGCCCTCTCTGCACCCCCAGCCACCCATCCCTCGGGAGATGATCTGTAATGAATTTGGCGCATCCTCGATCACAGCAGGGAAGGGGCGGGGCAGGAAGGAGTTTGGGCAGCAGCCTCCAGAGGAGGAGGGGGCTGTTCTCCCTCATTCCTGTGGGGCATGGCGGGAGCAGGCCTGTGTGTCTCCTCAAGGAGCTGTCCCTGGGGCTACACTGGAGGGACCATTTCCCAGAACCTCACACCTCCGGGAGGCTGCCAGGGCTTAGGCAAAGGCAGCATGTGACTAAGAGCTTTCCCTCCTCCCTCTGCACAGCTCCCCTGGAGAAGGAGCTACCTCCCCACCTGGGGGAACTGACCGTGGCTGAGGAGACCTCCAGCTCTCTGCGCCTGTCCTGGACGGTAGCCCAGGGCCCCTTTGACTCCTTCGTGGTCCAGTACAGGGACACGGACGGGCAGCCCAGGGCAGTGCCTGTGGCCGCAGACCAGCGCACAGTCACCGTAGAGGACCTGGAGCCTGGCAAGAAATACAAGTTTCTGCTCTACGGGCTCCTTGGGGGAAAGCGCCTGGGCCCGGTCTCTGCCCTGGGAATGACAGGTGAGGCTGCTGTGCCTGGCTATAGCAAGCCAGCTTGTGTGGGTTTCCTTGTGCATTTGGGCTGAAGACAAAGATGACTGCAGGAGTGGGCAGGCCGGAGTGGGGCGCCCTGGCCTGTCCCCAGGAAGGAGGAGGAGTCTGCAGCCCTGTGGGCTTCAACATCCATCAAGGAGTCCAGAGCAGGAGCCAGGCCAGGCGGGAGGGAAAGGCCCTGGGAGGGGCTCTCTAATCTCCCAGCCCCGACTCTGCCCCGTCACTGCCGCTGCTCCTCATTACTCGCTGGGGCTGCTGTCGCCTCCCCGAAGGGTGGCCTTGTCCAGATAGCGGCAAACCTCCCTGCCGTGGATGAGTCAGGAGCATTTTCTTAAGAGGAACATCACTGGAAAACAAAATGAGCGGGGACACAGAAACCAACAGCAGTGGCTGCATTTGTGGTACAGGCTCCTCTTCCAGAGCTCGCTGATGCCCACCTCAGACAGGCCTGACCACGGCACGGCTGGTGGGATTTGCCAGTCACCTCAACCAGCCAGTTCCACCCTCAGCTTCTCTCAGAAGGGAGCACCACACTCCTCAAGCTCAGTGAATGTATCCCGGCATGGGTGGGGCCAGAGCCTGTGATATCTCGAGGTGGGCTCGGCAGGACACCGGGGTGTGGAAGGGGGAAGCGAGCACCTGACTCAGACAGCGCGGGAGCTCGCAGGAGTCACGAGGCCACAGCGACTTCATTGTCTGACTGGGCCTGGACCTATAAACTTCCCACCTCAGCCTTGGGCCAAGCCTGGAAGATAAAAATGGAGCACCCCATGGCGCCCCTCACTCAGATTCTCCCCTGGGCTTCTCCCACGCAGCCCCAGAAGAGGACACACCAGCCCCAGAGTTAGCCCCAGAGGCCCCTGAGCCTCCTGAAGAGCCCCGCCTAGGAGTGCTGACCGTGACCGACACAACCCCAGACTCCATGCGCCTCTCGTGGAGCGTGGCCCAGGGCCCCTTTGATTCCTTCGTGGTCCAGTATGAGGACACGAACGGGCAGCCCCAGGCCTTGCTCGTGGACGGCGACCAGAGCAAGATCCTCATCTCAGGCCTGGAGCCCAGCACCCCCTACAGGTTCCTCCTCTATGGCCTCCATGAAGGGAAGCGCCTGGGGCCCCTCTCAGCTGAGGGCACCACAGGTACCACCAGGCGTCTCCGGCCTCTAGCCTAGGACTCAGAAGGGAGAAACGGGGGCTCAGAAGGGGTGGTCGCAGGGAAAGAGCGTGAGGCGGGTACCAGGGAGAGAGGATGGATGGGCTGGATGCGAGTGGCCTTTAGCTCTGCCCCACAGGACCCCCCTGTGGCTGCAAGTCCCTGGTTACAGATAGAGAAACGGGGGCAGGGAGGGGGGTGGAAGGGACGTGCTCTGGGTCACCAAGCTGGTGTGCTTCTGTCTCCAATCCCTTCTCCCCCACCCACTCCGTGCAGGGCTGGCTCCTGCTGGTCAGACCTCAGAGGAGTCAAGGCCCCGCCTGTCCCAGCTGTCTGTGACTGACGTGACCACCAGTTCACTGAGGCTCAACTGGGAGGCCCCACCGGGGGCCTTCGACTCCTTCCTGCTCCGCTTTGGGGTTCCATCACCAAGCACACTGGAGCCGCATCCGCGTCCACTGCTGCAGCGCGAGCTGATGGTGCCGGGGACGCGGCACTCGGCCGTGCTCCGGGACCTGCGTTCCGGGACTCTGTACAGCCTGACACTGTATGGGCTGCGAGGACCCCACAAGGCCGACAGCATCCAGGGAACCGCCCGCACCCTCAGCCCAGGTAAGGACCCACACACACTCTGCCCCAAAGTGGGGGTCTTTGTACTTCACGGGGGGGACCTAGTGCCTCAGCCAGCGGTGGGGGTGGGCGAGTTGGTGGTGGGCCTGGAGGAATCTGCAGAGCGACTTCCATTCCTGGGGACTAGAGGAAAAGGGGTGGTGAGCCTGTGCTGGAGCAGAGGCGAGGGGGGGACTCGTAGGGAGAAGCCTCCCTGCCCCTGCCTGCGTCATTGTTCCTTGACCCCTCTGCAGTTCTGGAGAGCCCCCGTGACCTCCAATTCAGTGAAATCAGGGAGACCTCAGCCAAGGTCAACTGGATGCCCCCACCATCCCGGGCGGACAGCTTCAAAGTCTCCTACCAGCTGGCGGACGGAGGTGGTGCCTTTGCCATGTGCTCATCGCCTCGCATTTCCTCTCCCCCCTGCACTCTGCCCACCCTCCAGCCGCCCTGGGGTTCCCTGGGTAACCCTCGATCCCCAATGTTTTCAGGGGAGCCTCAGAGTGTGCAGGTGGATGGCCAGGCCCGGACCCAGAAACTCCAGGGGCTGATCCCAGGCGCTCGCTATGAGGTGACCGTGGTCTCGGTCCGAGGCTTTGAGGAGAGTGAGCCTCTCACAGGCTTCCTCACCACGGGTGAGATGGACTGGGACCCGGGGCAAGAGGTGGGAGCCAAGAAAACGGCATGGGTGGGAGTTGAGAGAGAACGAGGAGGGTGAAAGGGAGGTGGTGGAGGCTCCGATTGCGGACGGGAGGCCAGTGGAGTCTGGGGAGGCACGGAGTAGAGAGAGCCGCGGGGACCCCTCTGAGCCCCTCCCCTTCCCCCAGTTCCTGACGGTCCCACACAGTTGCGTGCACTGAACTTGACCGAGGGATTCGCCGTGCTGCACTGGAAGCCCCCCCAGAATCCTGTAGACACCTATGACATCCAGGTCACAGCCCCTGGGGGTGAGCAGGGCTGAGGCCTCTGGAGGGGACTTGTTCAGGGTGGGGATTGCAGGGGGGAGGCTGGACTCTGGCCGAGGATGGAGGGGGCAGGCCTTGATGCCCCTCTCTACACTCCCAGCCCCGCCTCTGCAGGCGGAGACCCCAGGCAGCGCGGTGGACTACCCCCTGCATGACCTTGTCCTCCACACCAACTACACCGCCACAGTGCGTGGCCTGCGGGGCCCCAACCTCACTTCCCCAGCCAGCATCACCTTCACCACAGGTAGGGTCTGTGGGGTGTGTGGGACAGGGAGAGGAGGTAGAGGGAGCCAGGTTGGGCCTCATCCCCATCTCCTCTTCCTGCTTTCCCTCCTAGGGCTAGAGGCCCCTCGGGACTTGGAGGCCAAGGAAGTGACCCCCCGCACCGCCCTGCTCACTTGGACTGAGCCCCCAGTCCGGCCCGCAGGCTACCTGCTCAGCTTCCACACCCCTGGTGGACAGACCCAGGTGCCCCGGCCCCACTGACCCAACTCCCCTCCCTGGGTGATTCCAGGAGGTGCTGCCTCTGGCCCTCCCGGAGGGTCTCCACCTCCCTCTCCCCTGACCCCCCCTTGTCTGTCCCACAGGAGATCCTGCTCCCAGGAGGGATCACATCTCACCAGCTCCTTGGCCTCTTTCCCTCCACCTCCTACAATGCACGGCTCCAGGCCATGTGGGGCCAGAGCCTCCTGCCGCCCGTGTCCACCTCTTTCACCACGGGTACCTGGACGCACGGGCCCGGGGCCGGGGGCTGGGTGGGCAGCCAGGGCCTAAGGCTTGGAAAAGGACTGGCCCCTGCTCTCCTCTCCCAGGTGGGCTGCGGATCCCCTTCCCCAGGGACTGCGGGGAGGAGATGCAGAACGGAGCCGGTGCCTCCAGGACCAGCACCATCTTCCTCAACGGCAACCGCGAGCGGCCCCTGATCGTGTTTTGCGACATGGAGACTGATGGGGGCGGCTGGCTGGTGGGTGGCATTGGGAAGCCCAGGGGTCTGTGCAGGGCAGGGTCTGTTGCCCCGGGAGCCAGAGGCTGATGGTGCCCCCACTTGCTTCCCAGGTGTTCCAGCGCCGCATGGATGGACAGACAGACTTCTGGAGGGACTGGGAGGACTATGCCCATGGTTTTGGGAACATCTCTGGAGAGTTCTGGCTGGGTCAGTGCCTCACAGGGACTGGGGAACTACGGATGGGGATGGGGGCCCTGTGGACACCAGGACCCTGATGAGGGCACGTATCCCACCCCCAGGCAATGAGGCCCTGCACAGCCTGACACAGGCAGGTGACTACTCCATGCGCGTGGACCTGCGGGCTGGGGACGAGGCTGTGTTCGCCCAGTACGACTCCTTCCACGTAGACTCGGCTGCGGAGTACTACCGCCTCCACTTGGAGGGCTACCACGGCACCGCAGGTAAGCAGAGGCTGTGAGGCTGGGAGGGTGAGGCTGGGAGGGGAGGCCCTCATGGCTCCTTCCTCCACCCTGCCCAGGGGACTCCATGAGCTACCACAGCGGCAGTGTCTTCTCTGCCCGTGATCGGGACCCCAACAGCTTGCTCATCTCCTGCGCTGTCTCCTACCGAGGGGCCTGGTGGTACAGGAACTGCCACTACGCCAACCTCAACGGGCTCTACGGGAGCACAGTGGACCATCAGGTGAGGGGTGGGGAGGCGGCTCAGAGCTGGGGTGGCTGGGGCTCGGCCTGCCTAGGTTTCAGCCCCACAGTGTAACAGGCAAGGGACTGAGCGGCTGGGTGAAATGGAACAATCATGCCAGCCTCGCAGAGGGAGCTGGAGTTGATTTATTGGCTGGAAAGGGCCAGCTCAGAATTAAGCCTCAATCCTCTGCAGCGGAGGGTCAGGAAGGGAGCTCTGCGGGGAGGTTGGTTGAGTGCTGGGAGCTACCTCCTTAAGGGGAACGGGAAGAGCAGATGGGACATCCGGCTTTGACTCTCTCTTGACAACCCCTTTCCCAGGGAGTGAGCTGGTACCACTGGAAGGGCTTCGAGTTCTCGGTGCCCTTCACGGAAATGAAGCTGAGACCAAGAAACTTTCGCTCCCCAGCGGGGGGAGGCTGAGCTGCTGCCCACCTCTCTCGCACCCCAGTATGACTGCCGAGCACTGAGGGGTCGCCCCGAGAGAAGAGCCAGGGTCCTTCACCACCCAGCCGCTGGAGGAAGCCTTCTCTGCCAGCGATCTCGCAGCACTGTGTTTACAGGGGGGAGGGGAGGGGTTCGTACGGGAGCAATAAAGGAGAAACTGAGGTACCCGGCTGGCATCGGTCCTGCCCCATCACTGGTTCTGGCCTGGGCTGTGGGCCCCCATCCCCCGGGGCTGCAGCCGCACTTGGAAAGGCTGCATCTTGAGGATGACACTGCAGTGGGGCAGGGGCTGCAGGGAGGGCAGGGCGTCCCCGGAGGGCAGCAGCGTGAAGGCCTGCAGCAGTCGGGTCAGCACCACGAAGAGCTCCAGGCGCGCCAGCGGCTCGCCCAGGCACACGCGGGCACCGCAGCCGAAGGCCAGAGCTCTGGAGTTCTTGCCTGGCTCCAGGAAGCGATCTGCGGGCGGGTGGACAGGTGGGTGGGGAGGCGTTCAGCGGCAGCGGGGACCAGCCTCCACCACATTTTCACGGCAGGCCCCCGGCCCCCCACATACCAGGCCAGAACTCATGTGGCCTCTCCCAGACCGTCTCATCCAGGTGGGCGCCTTGGAGGTTCGGAATGATGACTGTGCCCTCAGGGATGTCGTAGCCGGAGATGCTGAAGGGGGCTGGAGTTAGAGGCTGGCCAGGACCTCCCTGGGCTCGGGCTTTCCTCACTCATCCCCAACCCTCGGGAGTCACCTGCTGGGCCGTGTGGTGCGGTGGGGCAAGGCTAAGGGCACAACGGGCCGCAGGCGCAGCACCTCGGCGATGGTGGCATTGAGCAAGGGCAGCCGTGCACGGTCCTTGTAGGGGACCCGGGAGCTGGAGGCACCAGGGCCCAGTTCGTGGTCTAGCTCCTCCTGCAGTCGCTGCTGAATCTGGGGAATGATCGGGTGGAGTCCTGCCCCAGCAGCCCACAGCTGCCCAGCCTCCAGCCGCTCCCTCAGCAACCCAGTGAGCCTGAGTGCCGGTGAGGCAAGCACAGCCCCAGCCGCACAGTGCTCAGAGCTGAGTGAGGGTGCCCACCGCCCTGGCCAGGTTGCTGGGAAGGAGCCTTTTGCTTGTCCCCAGGACGCACCTCAGGGTGGTGAAGCAAAAAAACCACGGCCCAGGAGAGGGTGTTTGCTGTGGTCTCAGTGCCACCGATCAGGAGGTCCACTGCAGCCATGTGCACGTGCCCTTCCAGGAGCTGTCCAGAGCCCTCTTCCATGCTCGGCTGCGCCACCCCTTGGAGCATGTAGTCCATCATGTCCCTCCACTGGCCTGCCACGAGGCTCTCCTGCAGAGGGTGAAAGGAGCGGGCTGAGCGGCTGGCCTGGGGAGAGGAGTACAGAGTGGCAACAGGCCCATAACTGGGGTATGCAAAAGAACCCGCCTCATAGCAATGCTGAGGCCGGTAGCATCACTGGCTGTGGGCCGAGGGGAGGCCGTCCACGTACAGTCCCCACCTTGTGCTGCCTCAGCTGCATCTCCACGATGTGATCCCTCTTCTCTATGGCCTGCTTCAGCCTCCGGAGACCTGGATTGGGGAAGAACTGCGGCAGGAAGCATGAGAATGCAGCTGTGGGAAGGAGCCTCTCCCTCCACCCCAGCCTCTCCCCTACAACCCAGGGGTGTCTAGGCTCCAGGTCCTCACCCTGAGAAAGGGAATCACGTCCACAATTTGGATGGACCAGTGGCTCCAGGTTTTTAACACCTCCTGGATACATTTGTAATAGGCAGGCATTAAGTTGTCGTCCTGCCAGAAAAGGAGGGAGTACTTTCAGTTCAGGACAAGGAGAGGCTCAGGGAGGGGCTGGGGGTGGGCCTGAGGGGCTGTGAGGCACCTTGATCTTGTCTCCGAAGGTGAGGTAACAGATGATGCTGCAGGTGAGGAGAGAGAATTCCTCCTCAATGGCCACAGGGGTGCCGGGCTGGGCTCTCATGCGCTGTGGAGAAACAGTGTGAGTTCAGCAGGCCGCTGTGCAGCGGGCAGGGCGGGGGCTACTGTGAGAGGCGAGGCTGACCCGAGGTGGCCTCAGGAGCCCAGCCTTACCTCACAGAACTCCTGGGTCAGCTGCTCCACCACTGGCTCCATGGAGTCACGGATGCCCAGCAGCAGGGCTGAGCGGGTGAGCTTCTTGTGGGCTTTCCAGAGCAGGGAGTAGTCTCCCAAGGACAGGTCCGGGTAGTTCTTAGACACCAGCTTGTCTGCAGGAGGAGGTGGGGGCTGGAGGGTGGGAACTGATGAAGGCAGCTGAGGGCCTGACCTTCTTCGGCCTCCCCAACCCCTGCTTTCTCCCCACCAGATATGCCCCCCAAGAGCTTCCAGGGACCTGGATTGGGGATGCCCCAAAGGTGGCTCACACTTGAGGCTGAGGTGGGAGGATCATTTGAGACTAGGAATTTAAGACCAGCCTGGGCAACATAGCAAGAACCCATCTCTTAAAAAAAAATTTGTTTAAGAAAGAAAAAATGCCCCCAGCCCTTACAGGTAAGTGGCTCAGGTCTGCCAGCAAAGTCTGCCCACTTTTTGACCATGGCTTCCTCAATGGTCCTCTTGGAGTTCAGCACCACCACATCTGGGAGACAGCCAAAGCAGCGTCAGCGGAGAGAGGACCCTCTCCGTCACCTCCGCCCCCTCCTATGGTGAGGGCCAGAGCGAGATCAGCCTCTCACCTTGCAGCCCAAGGTGGAGCCTGTAGATGGGCCCGAATTTCTGAGTCAGGCCAAGCAGATAGATTGGGAGGTCGGGCTGCAGCAAGTGCAAGAAGCCCGGGGCAAGAGGCGGGAGGTGGAGGCTCCGGAGCTTCCACCAGTTCCACAGCAGGCGGGCGCCAGCCAGCAGGGGCAGCAGCAGCAGGCCCAGGAGCAGCATGGCGAGACGCCCGTCAGGGCCCTGAGGTGCCACTTATAGCTCAAGAGCCCCAGCCATCCCTCCTGCTGTGTAGACTGTTTTGGGGCCTCCCTTGACCCCACCTTCAGGTACCCTCCCACCGACCCGCCCACAGAGTGGCCCTTTTCTGGAATGACACCAGTCTCATTGGCCTTGGGACGTCCGTATTTCAAAAAAATTGATCACCCATCAAGAAGCAAGGAAGGGAAATGCAACCCTGACCTTTTTCCTGCATCCAGAGTCAGCTTTCTGGTTCCACATCAACTGTGCAGGCAATAGTGTCCGCCCCCACCTGGGCCCTCTCCCTCTGCCACCCCACCGTGGGCCAGTTTACTGGCATGATGTTTGTCTCAGAGAGAAAATGGCAGTCCCTGCCTAATAGGCCTTCCTGAATCGCCTGAAGAACAAAATGTGATTTGTGTGGGTTGTTTGTTAGTTTAAGCTACAGATAGAGTAATACAGTTTAAGCCTGGTTTGCCTGGGGCATTCCAGTATATACAGGTATCCCAGTGTGATTGTTATTAGTGCCTCCTTTCACTCACAAAAGTGCCCAGAAGACAAAGGAGGAAGTGGTTTCCCGCTGCGGAGTAATAGCATGTACCAGACACTGCTCTAAGTGCTTTGTGGGCACTCACTCAACTCTTCACAGCCATGCTCTATATGCAACACGGGTATTGTTCGCATGTTGTGGAGGGCAGGATTCCAGCCTGGAAATCTAGCTGTCGAATATGTACCTTTAGCCACCAGGAGCACCTTTCTTTGGTTGAAAGGAAAACAGCCCACCTTGAGCTGGTTTGAGATAAAAAATAAGAATTGGGGAATTTCACAGAACTCAGGAAAAAGAAGCAGAGGAGGGGACCCCACTGGTCTTAGAAAGTCAAGGATAGGGAACAGAAAAAGCCCCGGAGACGGGCGGTTTCCTCGCTCTGTTCCTCTCTCCTCTTTCTTCTCTCTGCAGTCAAGTTTCTTGTGTTTCCAGGCACAGGCAGAACATGACTGCCCTCAGGACTACAGTCCACAGGTTCTACTCCAGCCAGGGAAAGTATGGATTCCCAGCACAACTGGGCATGCCCCCCTCAAAGTCCAAAGTCCCCAGGAAGGGGCTGGATAGCCACAGCTGGATCAGGATCAAGGGTCCAGCCCTATTTGGGGAACTGAAGCCATAAGGGGTGGGGGTCCCACTGGACTGACACTCAGAGACCACTTTTGTGGGTAAGGAGGCAGTTTGGGGATTTGGGAAGAGGCCATGCCAAAGAGGAGTGGCCGGGTTCAGTGAGAGGCCAGGGCCTCCTGGATGGTACCTGAGAGGTCAGAGGCGACCCAGCCTCATACCTTCCCCCCCATTTCTGGCTCTGTGCCAGACCCTCGGACCAGTGGGGGTCTCTCTCCCCTCAGAGCTTTTCCAGACTGTGCTACTGCAGAGCCAGAGTCAAGACCCTGGCTGTGCCACCCACTACATTGGCGAGTTCGCTGCTGCTGAATCCATGATCAGGACTGAGAGGGAGAAAACAGGATTGGGATTTCTGGGGTTGGGCAATGACAGCTACTGCCTTCTTCATGGTTGACCTCCCAGACCGGGCCATGTCTTGCTGCAACTGAATCCCTGGCTCCGGAAAATGGGCTTATGCCACCACCATGCTGAGCAGCTACTGGGAGAAAGATCTGATGAGCAACCATAGGGCCATGTATGCAAGAGCCTCAGGAAACCTCTGCCACAGTGGGAAAGGCCCAAACTTCTCAAAGTTACGTGGGATAAGACAGTGCTCATCGGAAAGGAGCGCACCTGGAAGGCTGACGTGCTTACTACTTGTCTCACCATCTCCATCTCTTCCACCACTTCCAAATCCAAACTCCGAATGTGGTCAATTACATGCAATGTCCCCAAAGGTACCCTGTCCTGCCCCCGGCCTCTGGGCCTTTGTATATTCTCCTTCTGCCCCAGATGCCCTCATCTACCCCTGCTCTTTGCCTGGCTCCTTCTCAGTCTTCAGAGCCCCACTTGGAGGCCACCTGCTCCAGGAAGCCTTCCCTGTCCCTGCCTGGCAATGCCCCTGACTTGGTTAGATGCCCCACAGGACCACACTGCTCCCTGACATCACATCTTTCACAGAGGGTGGGGACTGCCCGTCCTCTTATCTGTCTCCCCAGCGATGAGCCCTGGAGTGAGCAGCTGTATCTCTGGCACCTGGCACAGGGCATGGCATGAAGTGAAAGATTCCCGAATTTCTGTCGAATGACTGGATGGCAGGCTGCTGAACTGTCATGACCTCTACGGAAACTGATCTCACCAAACTTCTTTGGACAGACGCGGAGTCATCTCTGAAGACCCCAGGTGTGCCACTAAATGGGGGAAAGTTAGGCAGGTCCGGTGGGAAGGGGAGACCCCAGGAGAACAGCGGCTTCCTCAGAGGATTCACAAACACACCAAAGTCAGACTTTTGGCTTGTTTGAAACCAGTAACTGGAAGAAGACACTGCCGGACCTGAGGATTGCACAACTCCGGGAAAGTCACCTCATTCCACTGATAACAGAACCAAGCGTCAGCAGGCTTTCAACAGCCCGGAACTCAGCTAAAATCTGCAGACCTCAGAACCGCCAGCAGCACGAGGACAGAGTCGGGGAGGTGTAGCTGGACAACAGCTCATGAGGCAGAAGAGCTGTGTCACAGGTGTCAGCTGAGCACAAGCCCTGTCTGAGGCCGTGGTGACTGGCGACAGCCGGGCAGTGGAGGGCCTTGGAAGCTGAAGGGTGGTCTTGGCATGGACTCTGGTCCTTGGGGTGCAGGCTCTTGGGTCCCAGTTCTGCTCGGGGTGGTCCTGTGAAGCACTAGACTCCTAGCGGGTCATCTGGGAGGTTCTAGCAGAGCTGAACAGCCCAAGGGTCATCAGGGCTCAGAGAGTCTAAGGTTATGTCAACCTGGCCTGCCCAGAACTGCATCGGGCAGGGGCACTGCTCTCAGCCCTAGCAACACACACTGACACTTCGCTGCCAACACTGACACTTTGCTGCCAAAAGCCTTTAATATGCCCTGGTCCCAGGCTGTGTTCATGAAAGCGGACACAGCAGTGCTTCCAGCTTCATGGTTCCCAGGTTCAGGTTCCTCCCAGCGGAGGTGGGAGGGCAGCCCTCACACCTGGCACCCCTGAGTGCCATACTCCTGGAGGAAGTCGTTGAGCTGGGCACAGGCTGCCCGCTGGCGGGTGCTCCGGCACAGGCGTTCAGAGGGCATCTCCTCGATCCAGCTATTCGAGTCCAGCAGGTACTGGGGGCTGCAGGGGGCAAAGGGGCAGTCAGCAGGGCTCGGGAGGATGGCAGGTGGAAACGGAGAGCACAGGCATCTGGCTTCTGAGGGGCAAGGCCTAGGTGGCGAGGCATGGGGAGGACAAGAGACTGAGGGGACCAGATGACTCACTGTCCCTCGAGGTCATAGGTGGCCCCATCTAGACCCATGATCAAATATTCTTTCCCAGGTTCCAAGCGAAGGCGGCAGGAGGCTCGAACCAGGAAGTTGCGCATCTGATTAGCAGCGGCCTTGACATCCTTGGCTGCGGGGATGACGTGCGCAAAAGTGGTCAGAGGGGAAGAGAAGGTGCAGGGTGAGCCCAGGCTGGGGACTCTGTGTAGATCCTCTCATTCCACCTTCGCCACCCCCATGGAGAGGTGCCACTGCCTCCCTATTTATGGCCAAGCCCAAGGCTTCTGACAGCCCAAGGGGATTTTCACACTTCCAGATGGTCAGGTCCTCGGCCACACCTCAGCCTCCCTGTCTCCCCCCAGCCCTGCCCGCCTCTCCGGTTTGCTTCATACTGAAGTGCAGGACTTGGGTGATCTTGGTCTCAAAGAGGCGGAAAGCAGCTCTGCTGTCTTCTCGGAGAACCTTAACCTGGAAGCCTAAGAGGGGGTGAGGAGAAGGGGGAAAGGTGAGTTACTTTGAGGCTGAGAGGGTAGGAAGTTGGTGTCAGAGCAAACAGGCTGCGTGCATGACCTGTAAGAGGAGCAGGCTACACCCAGAGAGACCAAAACGGCCGGTCCCCGAGGGAGGGTCAGGCCAGGGCCTCGGTGGGAAGACTGACCGTACTCCACACGGGGGTAGTAGCAGGCAAACTTCATCCTGTAGCCATCCTCGTCCTGCAGACCCCGCTCCAGGGCGCGACGCTGGCGAGGGCACTTCCCTGAAGTTGGGGAACCCATCAGACAGTGTGGGGGGGGCCCCGGCCATCCCGCCTCCACTGCCCCGCCCCAGGCCCTCAGTCTCACCCTCAGCACACTGGCAGACTTCAGCAGAACACAAGGTGGCCAAGAGTCTGCTCTTACTTGGTGCCCCGTAAAACACAGAACATCTGCGCTCTGGAGAACAGAGAGGAGTTAGGGCACAGGCCCCTCCATTCTGCCTCCTCAGTCCCAGGGAGCCCCAGGGCTCTCTGCCCCCTCACTACCCCGGTGTCCATTGTCCCATAGGAGGGCACCTATGCCAAAGTTCTCCTGAATTTCAGGGTGTCCTGCAGTGCTCACCGGGGTTGTAGTAGTCGTACAGGGTTGCGCTGGCCGGCTGCACCAGCCCCACCGGCACTTCCTGCACAGCCTCAAAGCCCACGCACTCCCGGGAGGTGGGGACCTGGCCAAGCGTGGGGAGGAGAGATGAGGGACCCACTCCCTGGGCCCTGCAGCCCCCTGTACTGGGTTTCCTTGGCCTGTTTTTGTTTGCTTCCTATTGGCCTTCTCTCCAGTGTCCTTCACATTCTGTTACCTTCCTACTCAGAGAACTCTCAAAGCTGCTCCGCAAGGTCTCTGGTGACTTCACTTCCCAGAGGGTGACCTTGCCCCAGTCTTCACTGCTCCAGGCCCTCAGCAGAGTCTTGCATCATGGACGTGTTCTCTGTGAAACTGTCCCTAAGCTAAGGGTTAGCTTCTGGACCACCCTTGGTTCTGACCTGGTCATTTCTTACGTTCCCTCCTTCGGAACTTCCTTCCTCAGAGCTCCCCTGTGGGGGTCTCAACCACTCCCTGGCTTCCACCAAACCAATCCAGGCTGATGATTCCCAAACTGAACTTGCAGCTCCATCCTTGCATTAGGATTGTGGCAGGACCTGTAAGTTCTCCAAGGCACTCTGCCTGCCCCCAAACCCACTCGCCCTCCTCGCGGCCTCATCTTTGTCATGGATACAACTGGGTCCTCCTTTATTTGCCACAACCTAACTGCAGGTTCTGTCATCCTGCCTGACCCCCCGACTCAGGTCCCAGGCCTGACCCCTCCTCGTGCCCACGCGGGCCCAGTCCACACGGTGCCGTGCCAGTGTCCCTCCTGAGCTAGGCTGCTGCACCGTCAGCTCCCTATCCGGGAATCTTGTTGGCTCTGTGTTTTCTATTGTGTTCAACCCAGATGTGTCAGCCAGGCTTCCCCAGCTGATGGGGGCTGGCCCCTCTGCACACACTGGGTAGGGGTCTCCCTGACCTACAAACAGCTGGCTAATGACAGCCACCACACCTTTCTCACATTTTCTCCCAGAGGTTACAGTAAATGTTCCAAAACTTTTTTTGAAGGCCGGGCATGGTGGCTCTGGCCTGTAAATCCGGTACTTTGAAAGGCCTAGGCCAGAGGATCGCTTGAGGCCGGGAGTTCAAGACCAGCCTGGGCAACAGAGCGAGACCCTGTCTTTACTAAATAAATAAATAAAAATGTTTTGAGAGCCGTAAGAGGGTTGATAACTATTTTAGCCAAATAAGGTCGTGAAAAGACAAATACAACTATCATCTATGGCCACCATCACTTTGTAAAGGAAAATACGCTTTAATATTAAAAAAAAGATAGGAAGTTCAACAAAAAAACAAAGGCAGCCCCTCAAGCTGAATAAAACCAGCATTAGGAAAGACTCCCTCTCAAACCCTGAGGGTCCCTGCTGACTGGCATCGGTCCCTGCCGCCTGCAGGTCTGCCCCTTACTCTGCTGTGTCTCACGGGCTCACATTCTTGTCCTTCTCTCTGATGACATCACAAGTTCTCAAGAGCACCAGCCGCTGACACAGCTGTCTCCTGAGAAACCTCCTAACGCATACTCAGTAAACCCGGTGCCATCGAGTCCCTTCCTGCCTCATCTCTCCCCACTCACCGAGTCAAAATACAGCAGGACGTGGGGCCCCTCGGTCTCAAAGTGACTCACGTAACGGTCAGAGAGGGAGGTCAGCTGTGGAAAAGGGGAGTTGGTCACAGGCCCTGCACATGACAGGGCTCAGTACCTGGGACAGAGGGGGTTGCCCTGGGTGGCTGACCACACCTTCTCCAGGTCAGCACGCAGGGCGTGGAATCCACTCAGGAGGGTGACGTCCGCGATGGCCATGCCAGACAGCCCCACCTTGCCGTTCCGCCTGTGGAGACGTGTGAGCTGTCGTCCAGGTTCTGCCTGCGCGGGCTCCAGAAGCCCAGCCCCAGCCTGGGTCCTGCCCTCCCTCCCCTGGCCCAGGGCAGCTCCCGGCGCCCACCAGATGCACACGGTGTAGTGCACCCTGGACTCCTGCTCCTCCACCACCTTGGGCGCCTCCCTCCTGCGGCGGTTCCTCCGACCCTCAAACAGCTGCAGGGGTGTCACGGGCTGCAGAGGGGCATCTGGGTCATCCTTGGCTGGAAGCTCATCGTACTCATAGTCCTCATAGTCCTCGTTTGCTTCCACTGCACAGGGAAGCATTGTGAGGAGGGCTGGGATGGCCACCCGGCTCCCTGCGCCAGCCCCTGCCTGGCCCCAAGGCCTCCCAACCCCCACACTCACTCGTGTACTCGACGTGGCCTTTGACTGTCACTTCTATCTGTAGGTCCTGGCAGGTCGTGTTCTTCATGTCCAGGACATTGTAGGTACGAAGGACCTGGCTCAGCAAGGGGCAGGGAGAGGACGTGGGACATGTGAGGCCACAGACCTCTCTGGTGCCATACCTAAGGGCATCTCCCTGGGCTACAGGATTTGAGGCCTTCAGCCCCTTTTCCTCCCCGTCACTGCACAGTCCACACACACGAGTGGCACCACATTCGCCACAGGCGTCAGGCGAGACAGAGAGGTAAAGAAGCAGGGGCCTGCCCCCAGAGGCCAACACTCCAGACTGTGCTGGGAAGAGGCTGGACTGAAAAGCTCAGGAAAGGCTTCTGGCCAAGGCTTGAAGGAGAAGAAAGAGCTTGTCCTGTGGGCCAAGAAGCAGGGAAGGACAGGAAAGGCAAGGGGATCTGTGTAGACAAGGAGAGCTGTCTGGCCGGAGGGGTGGGCAGAGGCCCAGCCATCTGAGCCGTGGGCAGCGGGGAGTGACTTTTCCCCAAGGCTGATCTGGCTGGGGCTTTTGGAAGGTCAGTGTCACTGCCGTGTGGACAGTGGATCAGACAGGGGAGACAGGAGGTAGAGAGAAGTTCCAGGTAGGGAGAAGGCCGTCTCAGCACAGAATCTAGGATGCAGCACCAAGGGCCACAGGCAGCAGGGGAGCAGAGGAGGAGTCACTAGGGACATAAGGACAGGCTTGGGAGAGGGGCCACTAACACGGCCTCTAGAGTAGTGGCTGGGCTCCTGGCTGGGAGGGGCTCCCACCAGCCAGACAAGAGACACAGAATGAAGAAGGGCTTTGGGACATGCCTCGTCTGAGGTGCTGTGGGAGTGGGACGAGTGGGGCCCATGGTTCAGGGAAGAGGCCTGGGCTGAGGAGTGGGATTCGGAGCCACCAGCACTGAGGCGGGTAAAGGAAACAACAGGTACCCAGAGATGGGGAGAGCAAGCGAAAGCAAGCAGGGGGAAAAACACCCAGGACGGAAGCACGGGACACCAACCCTGAGGTGTCTGCCTCCTTCCCCGGACCATGTGCCTCTGCCCACAGGCCTCTCACTCCACACCCTCTCCTCCACCAGTGCCTGGCCCCACCCCTTCCCTGGCCCTCACCTTCAGGGTTCCTTTGCTGTTTCCTCCCACCTTCACATTGATCTTGCTGCCCAAGGAAAACTTCAGCAACAGAAAAGGGAAGGCGATGTTAGAAGGGCACAAGCAAACCTGTTTTTGCGGCTCCAATAACTTATCTCCTTCCTCAAAACAGCCCCACCTCCTCTCCCCACCTCACATTTCCACAAAGTTTATACCAGCACATGAATTATCTCACTTCAGCCTTCTAACGACCCTGTAGGGTGAACTCTGTGTATGTTACTCTACAAGTGAGAAAACTGAAGCTCAGAGCTCCAGGTCACGCAGCCAGGAAGTCAGTCTTCCCCCGAAGACCCCAGGAAGAAGTGCTGCGGGGATTCCACGGGTGGGAGGGTGGGGACGGCTTCTGGCCTGGCCACGAGGCCCAGGTGTCCTGGCTACCCAGGCGAGGGAGTGGTTCACCAGGGAGTGGTTCACCTGCAGCTCCTCCTCCAGGCCGCGAATCTGGCGGTTGTTCAGCTGCAGCGCGTGGGACTTGAACCCATTCCGGCCTGTGGAGCTGAGAGTCACATTGAGACCCCTCTCCTCAGTGGTGTGGGAGGCAATCCAGTAGGCAGACAGGGCATCCAGGGCAATCACCGTGTCCTAGGGAGGTTGAGCCAGGACTCAAGCAAGCCCTTGGTCTGAGGACTACCCACCCCCCCCAGAGCCCGGGGACGGCCCCTACTTGGGTACTGCGGAATCCCCCTTGGAAGCTGCCCTGACGGGTGAGCCAGGCCGCAGCCTGGTCTGCCATCTCTGCTTTGCCCTCGTGAAGCAGGAGGTGCAGCAGGGCGTAGGCTGTGGTTTCAATCCACAGGGCTGGGGCCTGGGGCATGGGGTCGGATGGGTTGCGAGGAGCCGGGGTGGGCGACACGGCATTGCTCTGAGAACCAGTGACTGAGCCCCAGTACAGGTTATCTGAAAGTGAAGGGAGACCACAAGTAAACAGGAAGGCAGGGAGAAGAGCCTGGTCCCCTGGCCCTTAGCCACCCCCTGCTGGGCTCTCCTGAGTCTCCCCCAACCCACCCCTGCTTATAACTTCATTCCTCCTCTGAGTCTTCATCCAGCCTCTCCCTCTGGGCACACTCAGGGATCCTAAGGTCCCCTGGGCCTCAGGCTCACTGCCAGGAGCGCCTCACCCCTCACCTCCAGTCTCCTGGGCCATTGCCATGAGGTTGTTGTGGGCAACACCGAGCAGGTCCACAGGCGCCTTGGTCAGTGTCAGGGCATAGGCCGTGATGGCAGCTGCGTGGGCACCCAGGAGCCCAGCACTTGCTTTCTCCCCCAAAAATGAGTTTGCCTTTGAGATGGAGGCTTCCTGGAAGAAAACGGGAGGAGGGTCTTGGGCCTGGACCCCTGGGTTCCTGAGGAAAAAGGGAGAGAGCTGGGGGCCAGCAGAGGGCAGAAACGCCACTGAACTTACCACTCTCTGCTTCAATGGCTCTGCACCCTCATCCTGGAAGACGGCCAGCCCATGATGAAGGGCGATGGTCACAAAGGCTGTGAGTGCCACAGTCTCATCATTGCCCACCAAACCCCCCTAGTAAGGGGAGAAAAGATGTCAAACAGGAGGGGGAAGGGGCAAAGAGAGTCCTCCGACAGGCGCTTCTCGGGCCAGCCCCAGCATGCCCGCACCTGCATGCTCCTGTCTAACACTGGACAGGGGTCCTGGAACGAGCCGTCAGCCTGCTGCTGGGACAGAAGCCAGTTAGATGTCTCCTGCAGTTTCTCAGGCGAGCCTCCTACCTGCTCCTGGGCCAAACTCAGGACCTTCAACACAAAGGCTGTGAGCCTGGAGGGCAGGAAAGGAGGGTTGGGGATAAGGACTTGCTTCTCATTATGCCCACGCCCCCAGGTGCCTGGTTATCCACCCTCCCATCATACCAGCTCTGTCCCACCCCTGCCCCAGCCCTGACCCCCTCAGAACCCTGGAACCACTCTCCCAAGCTCACCAGGTGCTGCTGTCCCGTGACAACCAAGCCGCATAGGAACCATCCGCCTTCCGAAACTGCTGGATCCGCATGTAGCCTTGGAGAGGAGAGGTGGCCGCTCAGGTGACACTCACCCTTCTGCTGTTTGAGCCCAAGGCCATGCTCCCCATCCTCATCAGGGGCCCCCTTTCTTTCCCTCTGTAGCCTCCTGGGCTGTCCATCTTCCAGTAACTGTCCTTTCCTGGCCCCCCTCCTGCTTGCCCTTGCACCCAGAACCTTTCTGGATCAGATCCACGGCGTGGTCCTTGGTCTCGGGAGGCAGTGTGCTCCACTGCTCTGTCTTGTCCAGGTAGCGGGAAGCAGCCAGTGTCGGAGCCAAGTAGATCATGGTTTGCTCCCCACAGCCTCGAGGAAGCCTCAAGAGGGAGGCCACGCCTCCTGGTGACAAGGCCCCCTCAGAGCCTAAAGTGTCCAATGGATCTGAGGCTACATGGGAGGGAGAGGGTGGAGGTCTGAGGACTCTGTGTCAGAGGCTCACGGGGAGTGGGACCAAGCAGGGATCCACAGGTCCCACATGAATCCGAAGGTGGCCACTGGGAAGGGACTAAAGGGCACTCCCACCTGTAACCCTGACGTAGCTGTTAAAGTCCCCATCAGGGATCATATTGGGATCAGAGTTGCCAGGTATTTCCAAGGTCCGGCCTCGGTGGTCTGGGGAAATGGGGGAAGTTGGCAGCCTGTCCTGCTGTCCACATCCCCCACCACCTGTACCCACTTAGGAAACCAATGGCTGGAGGTAGAGGGTCACTCACCCAAGGGGTTGAGTTCATAGACCAGCTCCTCTCTATGGATGGCCCCTTCCTTCTGTCTCAGGGAAAACATGGTTGTGAGGTCACACAGGACTACAGCCTGCCCTGCTAGCACAGACTCCCCCAGAACTTTGAGTTTCAACTCCAGGGACAGAGTTGGATCAGAATTGTAGAAGATGGGAACAGACCAAGGCATTGGTTCGGGTGTTGGGCCCCTGGCCTGGCCAGCAGAGAGAGTGCTGAGGGTGGAGGACAAAGCTGGGGGCCCGGGGACTTATATTCAGGGGTGCTCCATTCACCTCAATCTGCAGAACCTTGGACACCGCATCTCCCACAGGGAATTCGAAGGACCCTCGAGCCACCACCTTCAGAGACACAGCGGCGGCTGCCGTGGGCACCACAGAGAAGGCAACAGGCCGGGCAGAGCCCGCAGGCACCAGCACCTGCTGGGCCAGCCCTCCGCCCCCAGCCAGGCACAGCCCCTCCACTGGGGACACGTGGACGCTCACCTGAGGGCAGGAAAACGAGGATGGCCAGAGTCCTGGCCCGGTTAGCCTCCCCACCCCTCACTGGGCCCTGGCTCCCCCAACTCCTGTATGCTCAGGCTCCTATGGGGCCTCACAGTCAGGTTTTTATCCAGGTAGTTATAGAGGACAGGCCGCAGCTCCAGCTGCTCAAAGCGGCGGACAGACATGGGCAGGCGGAGGTGCAGGTGGAACTCGCGGAACACCCGGAGCTGGACTGGGGTGGCCACACATAGGCCTGAGGGAAAGGAAGCGTGGGCACAGGGGCAGAGATCAGAGGGGCCATCAAAGCTTCAGGGCCACAGGAGGGAGGGGTGGGGGTGACCCAGCTCTGTCTCAGTCCGCCTCTGCCCTCTGGCCCACGCCAGCTGCACGCTGGCACAGACCTCCCCAGATCACTGGACCCTCTTCCTACACTAAGAGCAAAGGGAACAGGGAGCTGGGGTACAGGGAAATGGAAGCAGGGTCACCTGAGGCCCAGACAGGGTGACATCACCTTTGGTTTTGGACAGGCTCAGGCCATGGATCTCCCACGTGGTCAGAGAGTCGGGGAGCCACAGTGTCAATCTGTGTAGGGAAAGGCAGAGAAGGCCCGTCTACCCCGGCTGGCCCCGAGACACAGCACAGAGAAAAGGCCGGGCCGGCACACACTCTCACATTTGAAAGCGGTCCACTGTTTCCACTCTCCAGAGCCAGTTCTCTGGGAAGAAGCTGCGCACGGGAATGTCATCCTCATCAATCAGGTCCTCCTCCTGCAGGATCTCCAGGGCTGGGGGACCACGGTGGACGGGAGTGAGGAGGGGACCGTTCTGCCTTTCCAAGCGCCGCCACCTGTGCCCTAGCCCCACCCAGCCCCTCACCTCGTTGGAGGCCCGCCTGGCCCTTGTCCCTGCTCTTCTTGCGCAGACTCTCAGCAAATTGGCAGCAGGACAGGAAGGGCTCCCGGCAGTCCGGCTGCTGCACGCGGGCTGCCCGCTGCTCGCAGGAACGCATCATGGGCAGACGTGTCACCCCATCCTGGCAGCAGCGCTTGGCTGTCGGGGAAGCATACTGACCCACTGCAGGGCCAGGTGGGGGTGAGCATGAGAGGACAAAAAGGACATACACCTCAGCACCCGCCCCGACCCCTTGAGACCAGCAACATAAGAGAGGCTGCTGGAGAGAGCTGCCCACCTTCCACTCGTAATCCCGGAATTCGGATCTCTGGCCCCAAATACCACACGTGGGTTCAGCAAGGAGCCGAGGGGCAGAGAGGCAGACCCCCAACCCGGATCCCAGGTGGAGAGCCCAAGCTACTGCCTAGGCACCCGCAACTCACATTTCTCATTAATCGCCTTTTGGAAGTTCACGTTTCTCTTTTTCCGGGTTGTCTTCTCCTTGGGACAGCTTAGTCCTGGTAGAGAGAAAGGCTGCAGTCCAGCCGTCAGGCACTCGGCCTCCTCCCCTCCTCCCCTTCCCCTGCCCAGCCCTTCCTGCCCGGACTCTTCCAGCTGGTCCCCTCAGGCCCTTCCTCCTTCCTTATCTTCCCGCCACCCACTCCCCTTCCTTCTCTGTTCTCACTCTTTCTGGATAAGGTCCACTGGTCTCCATCAGAAAAGGCCAGGCCCGCTGCCTGGAACACCTGAAGGGCACTGTCCCCACCCCCAGGACCACAGCCGAGGTCATAGCTGTTCATAGCTTCAAAGACCTGCAAGAAAGGCAGGAATGCTAGGAGCCAAGTGTGGCTGAGGGGCAGGACTGAGCACTCGGCACAGGTGAGAGGGCAGCACATGGGGGGATAGGAAAGGATACAGAGCCAGGAGATGGAGACCACAGGGCCAAGTGGGGAAGAGACTGTGGGGAGCCTCAGTGGGATCCAGGGGCTGCGCCCAAGGCTCAGGGAAGCAGGGGGATGAGCCATGGAGGGGTGAGAGAGCTGTGGAGAGGGTCTGGACAAACCTTGCCCATGTTGAGGGGCTTGTGGGACTTGCTGCCTGCAGCATACAGAGCTGTGTCCAAGGCTCCCAGCGCCACCAGGGCTAGGGAGTCGGTTTCTAAGTGGAGCTTCACGGACTCCCCGTTCCGGTACTGCTTGGCACCGTCCACGCTGAGCTCCAGCTGGCAGGGGCGGCAGGTGGGGGCGGTCAGAGTGGGAGAGCTTCCTTCAGTCCCGGTATCCTCACTGCCCCCAAGCTAAATCCATGCCCTGTTGGCAATCACCCTGTCCTCAACCCCCTCGGCACAAGTGCCATCTCTCCTGACCCCGGTCACCTTGCCCTCGCAGGCCCCAGCCTGGACATCCACTCGCAGGGAGTTGGCCACTGGGTGGTCTCCATGGTAGTAGAAGGCCACAAAGTAGAAGGAGGGTGCCAGGTGATGGTCCACAAACACCGAGACCGAGGTCAGGGTCCTCTTGGGCTCTCGATTCATGAACACGATCTGCCCTCGGGATAGGATCTGGGCCAAGAATGGGAGGGACAAGAGTGGTTGCCTCTTCATGGGACAGCCTCAGCCTTGAACCCCCCCAGCCCCACCCAGAGGGCTCTTCCCTGCACCCCAGCCCTCCGTGACTCCCCAGCTCATGCACACCATGTAGTAGTAATGAGAAAAGGTGGCCCCACTGCCCACGGCTCGCAAGTTCAGGTTCAGAGTGTCCCCAACACGAGGAGGTCGAGAATCCGGCCGCTCAATAGACAGAAACCCGGGGCCTCCTGAAGGTGGGGCTGCCACAGTGAGCCTGGCTATCGCTGGATGTGGGGAGCCTGCAGATACCTGGAGAGGGGGTCAGGTGCGAATAGGGTAGTAGCTCAGAGCCAAGTACCCCACCTTCCCCCCAAGTCAGGCCATGGATCCTTGGGACCCCAGCTCACCCTCCTCCCCTTCCCCCACCATCTCCCAGGGGTCCGAGGAGTCCTACTGAGAGCTGCAGCTCTGAGATGGTCTGAGGGATAATTATTGGAATGCTGACTTGGCCGCTCCCGTCTGTGTTTTGCTGAATGTCCTGGACTTCAGGAACAGACCCAGGAGAAGACACCGTGGCAGAAACTTTGACAGGAATGCCAGAAGCTGGGGAGCCTGACATCTCACGGACCAAGGCCTAGGCAGGTAAAGGAGGGCAGGCAAAAGAGAGTGGTCAGACCCTGAGCCCTCCTAACTACCACATCCTCCCTACTCATCCTTCCCCTCTGGAAGAAACCTGCAGCAGGAAGGGGGCCCCAGGCACAAGGTGTCGCTTGGTCTTGCTAAGATCCAAGGAGAAGGGAGATGACACAAAATACCAGGATGTGAGCTCTGCCTCCTCCATCTCCCCACCTGCAAGACAAAGGACAGAGAGAGGTGGGGGACAGAGCCCAAGAAGAGAGGGACAGGAGGACAAGTGGGGAGTGGCTTGAGTGGTTCCCTCCCACAAGACAGTGAGCTCCCAGGGCACAGGCTGCCGTATTCCTGTCTGTGTTGGGAAAAGGACTTGTGGGGTGCCTGTATAAACTGGCCATAAAAATATGGGACAATAAGTTGTGGAAAGCCACAAGAGGCCTCTGAGGAGAAAAGCCTCCTAATTGCCATGCTCAGAGCGAGACCTGCTCTCTCTTATCTGTAAACACTGTATTCAAGGAGAAAGACCCTCCTTTGAAGCATTGGAATGTGGACAGACGTGCAGGCTCCTAGTTAAGCCCACTCCCACTAGCTACTCTCCGATAAGTTAAAGATATGCTGTTTGAGCACAAAGGAGATTCATTTAAAGCGCTTCTGCTGTAGATTATGCCTGTGACGCACTGCTACCCTTTCACTGTTTTGCCCTGAACATCTGCTTCTTAGATCTAAGTTATTGTACTCAATAAATAGTGTGGAGACCAGAGCTCTGAGCCTTTTGCAGCCTCCATTTTGCAATTGGCCCCCTGGCCTCCACTCTTTATGAACTCTTAACCTGTCTCTTCTCATTCCTTTGTCACCACCAGACTTCAGGTACCCTACAGGTGGTGTTGAGGCTGGTCCCCAACATTCTGGCGCCCAACGTGGGGCCCAAAAGAATCTGGTGAGGAAACGCTCAAGCATGTGAAACAGAGGACCAACGAACAAAGGACTCCCAAGGACATAAAAGTTTTAACCTCTACAGGTAAGCGGGGCGCCCAGAGAAAGCTAGGGACACAATGGGAAAAACTGAAAGTAAGTACACCACGTATTTGAGCTTCCTACGGCAGCTCTTCAAGCATGCATGGTGGGGTAAAAGTTGATACGGAAAATCTTATGGATTTGTTTCATGCTATGGAACAATTTTGCCCTTGGTTCCCAAAACAGGAAACTTTGAAATTAAAACATTAAGAAGGAGTTGGAAAGGACCTTAAAAGAGCATATAGAGAAGGAAAGGAAATTCCTTTGCCTGTTTGGTCGCTTTGGTCATTGGTGCATGCAGCACTGGAGCCTTTTCAGACAGATAATGAGGCTGAGTCAGAGGAGGAGAGAGAGGAGTTTGATAATCAGAACTCTGAACCACCTCTACCGAGTACTAACAAAAAGGAGAGTCTGAAGATGATTTATGCCAATCTCCCCAGTCTCCCTAAACCTACTCAAAAAATTGTTCAGCCCACGGTTCCTGTAGAGAAATGTCCAGAATGGCCACCTCCTCCTCAGCCGAGTGGGTGCAGGGGGAGGGAGCCCGAGACTTGGCTCACCGTGCCCATTATTGCCCGACCCACAGTTCATTATGGAGATGGGGCAATTCAGGTTCACCCTACAGTTATTACAGTGAAGGAGCAATTTCCCTTAAAATGGATGACCCGGCGCCCCGTCTGGGTTGAACAGTGGCCGCTCCCTAAGGAAAAGTTGGGGGTGCTTTATAAAATAAACTACTAAAAAAAGGATATATTTCACCCACTTTCTCTCCTTGGAATTCCCCAGTATTTGTAATTAAGAAAAAGTCCGGTAGATGGCGTCAACGCTGTAATTCAACCGATGGGAGCCTTACAACCTGGGCTCCCATCCCCCACTGTGCTCCCTAAAGACTGACCGCTTGTTATTATAGATTTAAAAGACTGCTTTTTTACAATTCCTTTAGCAGAGGCAGATTTCAAAAAATTTGCCTTTACCATTCCTGCCGTTAATAACAAAAAACCTGCAGCCAAATATCATTGGAAAGTTTTGCCCCAGGGTATGTTAAATAGTCCCACAGTTTGTCAAACTTTTGTAGGCAGAACTATCCAGCCTGTTAGAGATCAGTTTCCAGATTTGTGCAGCAAAAAGTAGAGACCAACTTATTCAATATTATTAATCTTTGCAAAAGACAATTACAAATGCTGAATTACTTATAGCACCTGACAAAATTCAAACAACCACTCCTTTTCAGTATTTGAAAATACAAGTACAGGATAGAGCCATTAAGCCTCAAAAGGTTCAAATTAGAAGAGATTCTTTCAAAACCTTAAATAATTTTCAAAAATTGTTAGAAGATATTAATTGGATTTGGCCCAATTTAGCAATTCCTACTTATGCTATGTCTAATCTCTTCTCAATATTGAGGGGAAATACCAACTTACGCAGTAACAGAGAACTAACACCCGAGGCCATGAAAGAGTTATCAGTAATTGAAAACAAAATTCAGCAAGCCCAGGTCAGTAGGATTGACTCAGACTTGCCTTTATAATTCATTGTGTTCCCTACTTCACACTAACCACACAATAATGGGGGTTATTGTTCAAAATGATGATTTAGTTAAATGGTCCTTTTTGCCACATAATACCATAAAAGCACTTACAGTATACTTAAATCAGATGGCAATTCTAATTGGACAGGCTCATATATGAATTATTAAACTTTGTGGCACTGAGCCCAATAAAAATTATAGTTCCAATAAATAAAAATCAGGTTAAACAGGCATTTATTAACTCAGTTACATGACAGATTAATTTAACAAAATTTGTTGGATGTATTAATAATCATTATCCTAAAAACTTTTCAATTCTTAAAATTAACTACATAGGTTCTTCCAAAAATTACTTGTGATGCCCCTTTGGAAGGAGCCATAGCTGTTTTTACTGGTGGGTCTGGTAAACATGAAAAAGCAACAGTCTGGTGGAGACCACATAATCCAATCACTTGATCTGAATTTACTAACATTCAGAGAGCTAAGGTTATTCTGTGTATTTATTTAAAAACTATTACAGCCTTAAGTTTGCTCTGGAGCCCACTCTGTGTGGTCTTTTTCTTCAACTTCAACAATTACTAGACCAAGGTACACATCCTACTTTTATTACACACATTCGAGCCCACAGCTCTCTGCCTGGCCCATTGGCTTACGGCAATAATCAAGCAGACCTTCAGGTTATGACATCACTGCTTGACCAAGCCACCCAATCACATCGATTATTCCACCAAAATTGGAGAAACTTATCTAAATAATTTCAACTTACACAGAGGCTGGCTAAACAAATTATCCCACAATGCCCAGATTACCAGCTCACAGGCACATACCCTCCTTCAATAGGTGTTAACCGTAAAGAATTGGAACCTAGTCAGTTCTGGCAAACAGATGTTAAACACATCCCTAAATTTTAAAAACTAAAATATGTACATACATCCATTGTTACCAACACTCATCTAATTATTACACATTTAAAAAAATAAAAGTAAAAAAAAGACTAAGACAAAAATCAAAAAAATACAAAAAAGTAAAAAAATTTAAAAAGTTATAAAAATGTACCTTTAGTAAAAAAATTATAAAACATAAAAAGTTAAGACATGTTAAAAATTGTCTGTAAAAGTCATAAAAAAAGTTATAAAAAATTTATATAAAAAAGGTTGTTTAATTTTGTTTTAAAGATCTAAACAAGTTTTAAAATGATAATTGTAAAAAATTCCGTGTGTAAACGTATTTACTAAAGTTAAAAAGATATCATCCAGTTTTCTATAAACTAAACATTAAAATAAAACACAAGTTTTTCTTAAAACACTAACCTGCTCTTTAAAAATTGTAAAAAGTCTCTTAACACAGACGCCACTCCTAAAATTTCCAGTACCAGCCTAAAGACTACATCCTCATCAAAGGATAAAAAATTAAAAAATAAAAAAACATTTGAACCAGCCTAAAAAAGACCCTACAGGAACTACAGCCTCAACAATGCGACTTCCACAAACAACACAGGCCTCAGACATTATACTAAAAAAACAAAAGTCTAAGCCAAATAATTTATTCATTTTTAATTCTCTCACTTTGCCTACTACCTATACCTGCTACACTGTATTAAGCTCGTATCTTAAATCCGCCTTTCTTCTGCCCTGTTACTTTAACAAACACCCCCTTCTCAGCTTCTAATAACATAACTGCTTAGCTAGAATAAATTAACATACCCCCAGTGGGGTTCCTCATTAATAACATATAGTAAACTAAGATGCCAAGTAACACTACAGGTCACTCTTTTACTAAAAAAAAAAGTTACTAATTATACTCATGTTTGTCTTCTGTTATTTACTAATCCTAGAATACAAAGCCAAAATAAAAACAGTGACCTCCTCGCCTAACAAACCTGTGGCTACAACAGCCCAAAATTATACCTATTGGGCATGTGTCCCATTCCTGCCTTTAATTAGGCCTGTCACATGGTTAAAACCCCCAGTTGAAGTTTATGTTAATAATAGCGTTTGGATCCCTAAGCCTACAAATACTCATGGGCCCTCTCACCCAAAGGAAAAAAAAAAAAGTTAATAAATGTGTCCATAGGTTATCAGTTCCCCCCTCTTTACATAAGGCCAACTATCGGTTGCCTAAAAGGCTACCGACAACATTGACTAGTTAAAATTCCAGGTCATAATCAAAGACCAGTATCCTATCATTTATTTTCTGGATGGAGCCCGGATCATTCACAGAGTTCAATTCAATTAACAGTTTAAGCCCCCAAAAAAGAGGTGCCAACAACCTTAACAATGGTCAAATAATTTAAAAATATTAATTAAAAAAAATTACATCTCTGATCACACTATGGTACTACAAAATAATTCCTATGAAATTGTCATTAATTGGTCCCCTGAGGGGACCTTTACAGTTAATTGTACCCATCAAAATAATAAATACAAGACAAAACTAAAACAGAAACTATACTATCAAAAAGGTAACACTACTTACACTGAAAAACGTGCTCATTTTCCCATAATTTGGACCAATTTTAGTACAGCTGGCCCACATCCCAAAATAATTAATCCAATAATAGGCCCTAAACACTCCAAATTATGAAAGTTAATAATGGCCCAATCTCATATTTAAGTTTAGAAAAAAATATATTATCTTTAAAAAAAAAAGGTTAAAAACTTCAATTTGCGTATCAGTTTTCTTCCAACAAAACAGTGCCCATTCAGAGTTGTGTCAACCCTCCTTTTATGTTAATGGTCAAAAATATTGACATTCGACCTAATTCTCAAACTATTACTTGTCAAAACTGTCACCTTTTCACCTGTATTAATTCCACGTTCGGTGTAAAAACATCTGTGTTACTGATAAAAACTAAGAAAGGAGTTTGGATACTGGTTTCCCTCAATAGACCTTAGAAAGCCTCTCCTTCCATTCATATTGTCACAAAAATGTTTTAAAAAAAAGTGTTTACCAAAACAAAGAGATTTATTTTTACCCTTATAACAGTCTTATGGGCCTTATTGCAGTCACAGCTACTGCTGCGGCTGCTGGAATTGCTTTACACTCCTCTGTTCAAACTACAAAATATATAAATAGTTAACAAAAAATTCCTCAAAATTGTGGAATTCTCAGACCCAAATAGACCAACAATTGACAAATCAAACAAATGATCTTAGACAGACTGTTATTTAAATGGAAGATCGTACAATAAACTTAAAACATCAATTAGAAGTACAATGTAATTGAAATACTTCCAATTTCTACATAACTCCCCATTCGTATAATACTACTAAACATCATTTTTAAAAAGTTAGACATCATCTAAAAGAAAAAAATAAAAATTTAACATTAAATATAACCAAATTTTAAAAAAACAGGTTTTTAAAGCATCTCAGGCTCATTTAACCCTCCTGCCTGAGACTGACATTCTCATTGGAGCTACTGACGGACTTTCAAACATAAATCCTCTTAAACAGATTAAGACCATTAAAGGATCAACTATTACAAATTTTACTTTAATGTGTATCTGTTTATGCTGTTTACTTTTAGTCTACAGATGCAAAAGACACTTCTGAAAACAGACCAAACACCACAAATAAGCCATAATAGCAATAGCGGTTAAAAAAAAAAAAAGGGAGGGGGGCATGTTGGGAAAAGGACTTGTGGGGTGCCTGTATAAACTGTCCATAAAAATATGAGACAATAAGTTGTGGAAAGCCACAAGAGGCCTCTGAGAAGAAAAGCCTCCTAATTGCCATCATGTTCCCATGCTCAGAGTGAGACCCCCTGTCTTATCTGTAAACACTCTGTTCAAGGAGAAAGACCCTCCTTTGAAGCATTGGACAGACATGCAGTCTTCTAGCTAAGCCCACTTCCACCAGCTACTCTCCGATAATTTAAAGACATGCTGTTTGAGCACAAAGGAGATTCATTTAAAACTCTATTGCTATAGATTACGCCTATGACCCACTGCCTCCCTTTCACTGTTTCTCCCTGAACATCTGCTTCTTAGATCTGAGTGACTGTACTCAAAAAATAGTGTGGAGACCAGAGCTCTGAGCCTTTTGCAGCCTCCATTTTGCAATTGGCCCCCTGGCCCCCACTCTTTATGAACTCTTAACCTGTCTCTTCTCATTCCTGTGTCACCAATGGACTTCAGGAACCCTACGGGTGGCGTTGAGGCTGGTCCCCAACATGTCTGTGCATGCTGAGGCCTAGCACGGGGCATTGAACAACACATGTCCACTGGAGGAGTGAAGGAATGAGCAGAACGAGCAAAGAAATAAATAAACTCAGCCAGGGAAAAGGGCCGAGTCACAGAGACAGAGTTGGAGAGAAACCAGGTCTCCTGGGTGTTTCCTGGTTTTGAGTCTGAGATGAGATGTGAGAAGTGGGGTGGTGTTGGTGCTGGAGGACAGAGGGTTAGCTCAGAGGTCAGAGGCAAGGGTCTGGGGTTACAATAAGGGAAAGTCACCCACCTGGATACTCAATGATGGCTGCAGCAACGTAGAGGCGCAGCCCCTGGAGGTCAGTAATGCCCATATTCAGCTTCTCCAGGGCGTCCTGGAACTCTGCCTTTGAGAGGGAAATGTGGCTCTGTCCATTCACCAGCTGGGGCATAGAAAGAAACAGGACATAGGGTGAGACTGAGTCTCCCACCTCACCTCCCTTGCCCCTTCCCCTCCCCAGCCCCTATTCTCCTTCCTACCTTGGTCTGACTCTCCAGCCCCCGAAAGAAAGTCTTCTTACCATCCTCATCTAGGAGCCCAAAGCGCACATATGCCACCCCCTGCACTGGCTTCCCATAGATGTACCTGTCGTGGCAGAGAGAAGAGGGTGGGCCAAGGGCTGGGGGGAATAATGGCCCGAGGGCAGGGAAGCAGGAGCCCATTCATACTGAGTAGGGAGCAGGACCCGGTGCTGGTGGGCAGAGGTGGGGAGGGAGGTATTACCTGGCCTGGATGTCTAACTGCATTTCATCAAGATGGCCTGGCACCGTCAGGATGTAGGGCTTTCCAGGGGTGATCTTCACCTCAAAGTTGGGAAGGACTGACCCAGGGTGAAGGGATAGGCAGGTCAGACTCCAGCTCAAAGACTCCCCTCTGCTCAGGGCTGTGGCACCCATATCTCCCTGCCCTGAGCTGCTCCCAGTACCTCTCCTTCCACCCTTATTTCCTTCAGGAAAGCAGCTGCCTGTCCCTCCAGTTTCCAGCTCTCACCATATTTCTTCACCTCAAACTGGGTGCTGCTGTTGGATTCCAGGCCATCTGAGAATCGGGCTGAGATCTTCCAGGTCCCTGGCCTGAGAATGGACAAGGAAGGGGCTCAGCCCATCTGTACAGTGGGGCACGGAGAGCCAGCAGCCTGCTTCCCTGGGAAGAGGACTGTGGGGGTTAACCAGAGGCTCAGGAGGCTGAGGGTCAGGGCATCTGGGGACGTGCCTCTGTGTGGGAGGTGGAGAGCCTAACAGGAATTGGGGTGGTGTAGCTTGGGGGCAGCCCCCACATTGGGAGCGCTCACTCTGAGATGTCTGGGATCACAAAGTCATCCTGGAAGATGGACGAGGGCATGTACACCTCCTTCTTCCGCACGCGGAGGCCGTGAGAGTTCTGCAAGGGGAGAAGTGCTCACAGGCAGGAGGTCACATCAGTGGCCAGGATCAGGAAGGCCAGAGGTCGGGGACTCACCTCCACCATGACTGTGATGGTGTCAGTGCTCGGGCGCATCTTCTGATCCAGAGCAAAGACCCGGTACCGAACTGGGAGTGGAGGAGGAGAGAGGTGAGCAGGGGTCCATGTGCAAGGGGAGGGTGGGTCAAACTCCACAGAGGGAGCAGGGGACAAATGTTTCCTAAGCACCCCTTCTGTGTGGCACTTTCTTTCAGGTTATCTCACTTAGGGGGCACCAAACTCATCCTGAGAGGGCTCGGAGGGGGTTAAAGGTTGAGGCCCTGGGGCTGAGACTCACCCCGCTGGCCAGGGTTGTAAATGGGCTGGTCCGTCTGCAAAAAGAGGTGCCCCCGGCGAGAGGAGAAGAGCAGGTTGATACCCTGGATGTTTGTCGTTCTGGACAGAGAGTCCTTTAGCCATGGCGAATGGGCCACCAGCTGGACCTCAGGGCCTCTGAGGAGTTGATGGAGGCCACAGCTCTTCGCATCTTTCAAGGGCACCTGTCAGGAGAGGGAGAGGGAGAGGGAGCGGGTCACAGAGCAAGAGACAGCTGACCAAAAAGGACAGAGACCAAGGGAGAAACGTGGAAGGAGAATGCCAGGGTGGGAAGACAGGAGGGGAGGAGGCCAGTGGGAAGATGATGACACTTACAAGACAGATGGGAACAGGGCAGGAGGCCCCCACAAGCAGCAGGAGGGCATGGGGTCTGGTTACCTGGAGACTGAGGAGTGCGAAGTCTCTTTCTGAGCTAAGGGTGAAGTCCACCTTTGGGGAGCAGGGGACATTATTACGAGATGGGTTTCTCAGGAACACTGATCCTTTCACTACCTGTCCTCGGGGCACATCCTGGAGCTGCACCCCCACCGATAGGGGGACCCCCAGATGAACCACAGAAGGAGAGAACAAGAGCAACCTGGGGAGAACAGACAGGATCAGCAGTCAGACTTCGCTCTGACACCTCCACCCCTGCTCTCCCTCACTCCTGAATCGGGTCCCGATGCCAGCCCTGCCCCAATCCAAGCACCCAGCATCCCGCCTCCAGGACCTGGGCTTCTGCAGAGATAAGGTGAAGAAGCTGGATGCCCAGATCAGCCCCCAGAGCAGCCTCATGGCTGGAGGATCCAAGAGAGGTTAGATCCGTCTGTCTGTCTGCTACCTTCTGGCCAAGCTAGGCCTCGGGGCAGAGTTGACTCTGGACCTTGCTCCTCCCCCAGCCCAGCTAAGCTGGGAAACCACGTGACAGCCAAGAAGTGCAACTGGCCTCAGGCCCAGAGTTGTGGGGGCACCCCGGACACCTGGGTGTCCATGGGAAACTCTGAATCTTGGCCCAGAAATAACCCTGTCCTTCCCCGTTAACTCCTCTCATTCCAGTGCCTGAGCACCTCCCCCTACCAGGTATATCTGTATCAGGGTATAGGTGCACACAAGCTCATGTATACCTGGGCGTACAAGGGCCCAACATGGCCCACGAGTACAGGATATTTAAAGGCCCTCACAAAACAATGACAGGCTTCTAAGACACTTGTCTCTTACTTTCATTCCAACACAAATTGAACTATACTAGGCTTTTGCTTTTTTAGGCCCTAACAGAAATTCCGTGGTTTAGGAGATTAGGTACACCCTCACCACTCCACAGGGAGAATGGCCTGAACGTCAGAGTGAACCCCTGACCCCTTTCCTCTCTGAATGAGGCAAAGCTCAGACTTCACCTCTACCCCTAAACAAGGCACCCAAACACACGTCACAGTAAATAAAGGACATCCAGAAAATATCACAGGCAGAGGTACTTTATTTGGCAATTTTAACATGACACGTAGAGAAAAGAACCCTGCCCTCCTTCACCAGCCTCCCCAGAAATCCCACCTTCCTATTTCAAGACAGAGTAATAACAGCACCATTTTACACGAAAGGGAACAGCCACAGCCTTGGCACCATTTCTGGTTCCACTTTCCATGGAAGGGCAGAGAAGCATTGCTCAAACCCCACCACTGGGTCAGAAACCAGGCAAACAGCAGCAGTCACATCTGACCTTTTGCACACACGAGAGCCCGACACTCATCCTGGCTCCCAAGCCTTCCCAAGGTGACCCTGTCTCAGCCACCATCATGCAGCTCTTCTAGTCCCCTCCCGGCCCACTCTGAGGAGCTGAGCAATGATGAGCAGAATCTTCATGTCTCTGGCAGGCGGAGGAGGGTTCCTGAAGTGGTAGAGATGCTGTGCAGGAGAAAGACAAGGCTGGAGCCAGACGCCTAGGCTCAAGCTGTGAGGAGAACTTAGAACTTGGGAAGGGGTGCTCCCGGGTTCCAGAGAAGAATGAGAGCCACTGGCCTTCACTAGGAAACTAAGCATGAGCTGGGAGGAAATCCCACTTTGGGTCATTGCTCCATAATCTGCCAGAGGCCAGGGAAAGACTCACCAGTCCACTAGCTGGGCCCCAATGAGGTCGTGCACATGGTAGGTGAGGCCAAGCCGCACCACGACAGGCACCCGCCGGCCCAGGAGCTCTGATAGGAGCAGCTCCCGGTACTTTGCCTTCCGGACCATGCCAAGGACAGCCTGGCGCCCTAGAGGAGAAGTGGCACAGGAGAGGGGAAAGGTGAATAAGGCCTAGAGGCCTGAGGAGCCACCAAAAGGTGAGGGGCTGCAGGCTTGAGCTGCAGATGGGATACCTTTAACAAAGTACTTGTGCATTTGGTCTGAAGACAAAGATGACTGCAGGAGTGGGCAGGCCGGAGTGGGGTGACCTGGCCTGTGCCCAGGAAGGAGGAGGAGTCTGCAGCCCTGTGGGCTTCAACATCCATCAAGGAGTCCAGAGCAGGAGCCAGGCCAGGCGGGAGGGAAAGGCCCTGGGAGGGGCTCTCTAATCTCCCAGCCCCGACTCTGCCCCGTCACTGCCGCTGCTCCTCATTACTCGCTGGGGCTGCTGTCGCCTCCCCGAAGGGTGGCCTTGTCCAGATAGTGGCAAACCTCCCTGCCGTGGATGAGTCAGGAGCATTTTCTTAAGAGGAACATCACTGGAAAACAAAATGAGCGGGGACACAGAAACCAACAGCAGTGGCTGCATTTGTGGTACAGGCTCCTCTTCCAGAGCTCGCTGATGCCCACCTCAGACAGGCCTGACCACGGCACGGCTGGTGGGATTTGCCAGTCACCTCAACCAGCCAGTTCCACCCTCAGCTTCTCTCAGAAGGGAGCACCACACTCCTCAAGCTCAGTGAATGTATCCCGGCATGGGTGGGGCCAGAGCCTGTGATATCTCGAGGTGGGCTCGGCAGGACACCGGGGTGTGGAAGGGGGAAGCGAGCACCTGACTCAGACAGCGCGGGAGCTCGCAGGAGTCACGAGGCCACAGCGACTTCATTGTCTGACTGGGCCTGGACCTATAAACTTCCCACCTCAGCCTTGGGCCAAGCCTGGAAGATAAAAATGGAGCACCCCATGGCGCCCCTCACTCAGATTCTCCCCTGGGCTTCTCCCACGCAGCCCCAGAAGAGGACACACCAGCCCCAGAGTTAGCCCCAGAGGCCCCTGAGCCTCCTGAAGAGCCCCGCCTAGGAGTGCTGACCGTGACCGACACAACCCCAGACTCCATGCGCCTCTCGTGGAGCGTGGCCCAGGGCCCCTTTGATTCCTTCGTGGTCCAGTATGAGGACACGAACGGGCAGCCCCAGGCCTTGCTCGTGGACGGCGACCAGAGCAAGATCCTCATCTCAGGCCTGGAGCCCAGCACCCCCTACAGGTTCCTCCTCTATGGCCTCCATGAAGGGAAGCGCCTGGGGCCCCTCTCAGCTGAGGGCACCACAGGTACCACCAGGCGTCTCCGGCCTCTAGCCTAGGACTCAGAAGGGAGAAACGGGGGCTCAGAAGGGGTGGTCGCAGGGAAAGAGCGTGAGGCGGGTACCAGGGAGAGAGGATGGATGGGCTGGATGCGAGTGGCCTTTAGCTCTGCCCCACAGGACCCCCCTGTGGCTGCAAGTCCCTGGTTACAGATAGAGAAACGGGGGCAGGGAGGGGGGTGGAAGGGACGTGCTCTGGGTCACCAAGCTGGTGTGCTTCTGTCTCCAATCCCTTCTCCCCCACCCACTCCGTGCAGGGCTGGCTCCTGCTGGTCAGACCTCAGAGGAGTCAAGGCCCCGCCTGTCCCAGCTGTCTGTGACTGACGTGACCACCAGTTCACTGAGGCTCAACTGGGAGGCCCCACCGGGGGCCTTCGACTCCTTCCTGCTCCGCTTTGGGGTTCCATCACCAAGCACTCTGGAGCCGCATCCGCGTCCACTGCTGCAGCGCGAGCTGATGGTGCCGGGGACGCGGCACTCGGCCGTGCTCCGGGACCTGCGTTCCGGGACTCTGTACAGCCTGACACTGTATGGGCTGCGAGGACCCCACAAGGCCGACAGCATCCAGGGAACCGCCCGCACCCTCAGCCCAGGTAAGGACCCACACACACTCTGCCCCAAAGTGGGGGTCTTTGTACTTCACGGGGGGGACCTAGTGCCTCAGCCAGCGGTGGGGGTGGGCGAGTTGGTGGTGGGCCTGGAGGAATCTGCAGAGCGACTTCCATTCCTGGGGACTAGAGGAAAAGGGGTGGTGAGCCTGTGCTGGAGCAGAGGCGAGGGGGGGACTCGCAGGGAGGAGCCTCCCTGCCCCTGCCTGCGTCATTGTTCCTTGACCCCTCTGCAGTTCTGGAGAGCCCCCGTGACCTCCAATTCAGTGAAATCAGGGAGACCTCAGCCAAGGTCAACTGGATGCCCCCACCATCCCGGGCGGACAGCTTCAAAGTCTCCTACCAGCTGGCGGACGGAGGTGGTGCCTTTGCCATGTGCTCATCGCCTCGCATTTCCTCTCCCCCCTGCACTCTGCCCACCCTCCAGCCGCCCTGGGGTTCCCTGGGTAACCCTCGATCCCCAACGTTTTCAGGGGAGCCTCAGAGTGTGCAGGTGGACGGCCGGGCCCGGACCCAGAAACTCCAGGTGGGAGTCAAGAAAACGGCATGGGTGGGAGTTGAGAGAGAACGAGGAGGGTGAAAGGGAGGTGGTGGAGGCTCCGATTGCGGACGGGAGGCCAGTGGAGTCTGGGGAGGCACGGAGTAGAGAGAGCCGCGGGGACCCTTCTGAGCCCCTCCCCTTCCCCCAGTTCCTGACGGTCCCACACAGTTGCGTGCACTGAACTTGACCGAGGGATTCGCCGTGCTGCACTGGAAGCCCCCCCAGAATCCTGTGGACACCTATGACGTCCAGGTCACAGCCCCTGGGGGTGAGCAGGCCTGAGGCCTCTGGAGGGGACTTGTTCAGGGTGGGGATTGCAGGGGGGAGGCTGGACTCTGGCCGAGGATGGAGGGGGCAGGCCTTGATGCCCCTCTCTACACTCCCAGCCCCGCCTCTGCAGGCGGAGACCCCAGGCAGCGCGGTGGACTACCCCCTGCATGACCTTGTCCTCCACACCAACTACACCGCCACAGTGCGTGGCCTGCGGGGCCCCAACCTCACTTCCCCAGCCAGCATCACCTTCACCACAGGTAGGGTCTGTGGGGTGTGTGGGACAGGGAGAGGAGGTAGAGGGAGCCAGGTTGGGCCTCATCCCCATCTCCTCTTCCTGCTTTCCCTCCTAGGGCTAGAGGCCCCTCGGGACTTGGAGGCCAAGGAAGTGACCCCCCGCACCGCCCTGCTCACTTGGACTGAGCCCCCAGTCCGGCCCGCAGGCTACCTGCTCAGCTTCCACACCCCTGGTGGACAGACCCAGGTGCCCCGGCCCCACTGACCCAACTCCCCTCCCTGGGTGATTCCAGGAGGTGCTGCCTCTGGCCCTCCCGGAGGGTCTCCACCTCCCTCTCCCCTGACCCCCCCTTGTCTGTCCCACAGGAGATCCTGCTCCCAGGAGGGATCACATCTCACCAGCTCCTTGGCCTCTTTCCCTCCACCTCCTACAATGCACGGCTCCAGGCCATGTGGGGCCAGAGCCTCCTGCCGCCCGTGTCCACCTCTTTCACCACGGGTACCTGGACGCACGGGCCCGGGGCCGGGGGCTGGGTGGGCAGCCAGGGCCTAAGGCTTGGAAAAGGACTGGCCCCTGCTCTCCTCTCCCAGGTGGGCTGCGGATCCCCTTCCCCAGGGACTGCGGGGAGGAGATGCAGAACGGAGCCGGTGCCTCCAGGACCAGCACCATCTTCCTCAACGGCAACCGGGAGCGGCCCCTGAACGTGTTTTGGGACATGGAGACTGATGGGGGCGGCTGGCTGGTGGGTGGCATTGGGAAGCCCAGGGGTCTGTGCAGGGCAAGGGGCTGTTGCCCCGGGAGCCAGAGGCTGATGGTGCCCCCACTTGCTTCCCAGGTGTTCCAGCGCCACATGGATGGACAGACAGACTTCTGGAGGGACTGGGAGGACTATGCCCATGGTTTTGGGAACATCTCTGGAGAGTTCTGGCTGGGTCAGTGCCTCACAGGGACTGGGGAACTACGGATGGGGATGGGGGCCCTGTGGACACCAGGACCCTGATGAGGGCACGTATCCCACCCCCAGGCAATGAGGCCCTGCACAGCCTGACACAGGCAGGTGACTACTCCATGCGCGTGGACCTGCGGGCTGGGGACGAGGCTGTGTTCGCCCAGTACGACTCCTTCCACGTAGACTCGGCTGCGGAGTACTACCGCCTCCACTTGGAGGGCTACCACGGCACCGCAGGTAAGCAGAGGCTGTGAGGCTGGGAGGGTGAGGCTGGGAGGGGAGGCCCTCATGGCTCCTTCCTCCACCCTGCCCAGGGGACTCCATGAGCTACCACAGCGGCAGTGTCTTCTCTGCCCGTGATCGGAACCCCAACAACTTGCTCATCTCCTGCGCTGTCTCCTACCGAGGGGCCTGGTGGTACAGGAACTGCCACTACGCCAACCTCAACGGGCTCTACGGGAGCACAGTGGACCATCAGGTGAGGGGTGGGGAGGCGGCTCAGAGCTGGGGTGGCTGGGGCTCGGCCTGCCTAGGTTTCAGCCCCACAGTGTAACAGGCAAGGGACTGAGCGGCTGGGTGAAATGGAACAATCATGCCAGCCTCGCAGAGGGAGCTGGAGTTGATTTATTGGCTGGAAAGGACCAGCTCAGGATTAAGCCTCAATCCTCTGCGGCAGAGGGTCAGGAAGGGAGCTCTGCGGGGAGGTTGGTTGAGTGCTGGGAGCCACCTCCTTAAGGGGAACGGGAGGAGCAGATGGGACATCCGGCTTTGACTCTCTCTTGACAACCCCTTTCCCAGGGAGTGAGCTGGTACCACTGGAAGGGCTTCGAGTTCTCGGTGCCCTTCACGGAAATGAAGCTGAGACCAAGAAACTTTCGCTCCCCAGCGGGGGGAGGCTGAGCTGCTGCCCACCTCTCTCGCACCCCAGTATGACTGCCGAGCACTGAGGGGTCGCCCCGAGAGAAGAGCCAGGGTCCTTCACCACCCAGCCGCTGGAGGAAGCCTTCTCTGCCAGCGATCTCGCAGCACTGTGTTTACAGGGGGGAGGGGAGGGGTTCGTACAGGAGCAATAAAGGAGAAACTGAGGTACCCGGCTGGCATCGGTCCTGCCCCATCACTGGCTCTGGCCCGGGCTGTGGGCCCCCATCCCCCGGGGCTGCAGCCGCACTTGGAAAGGCTGCATCTTGAGGATGACACTGCAGTGGGGCAGGGGCTGCAGGGAGGGCAGGGCGTCCCCGGAGGGCAGCAGCGTGAAGGCCTGCAGCAGTCGGGTCAGCACCACGAAGAGCTCCAGGCGCGCCAGCGGCTCGCCCAGGCACACGCGGGCACCGCAGCCGAAGGCCAGAGCTCTGGAGTTCTTGCCTGGCTCCAGGAAGCGATCTGCGGGCGGGTGGACAGGTGGGTGGGGAGGCGTTCAGCGGCAGCGGGGACCAGCCTCCACCACATTTTCACGGCAGGCCCCCGGCCCCCCACATACCAGGCCAGAACTCATGTGGCCTCTCCCAGACCGTCTCATCCAGGTGGGCGCCTTGGAGGTTCGGAATGATGACTGTGCCCTCAGGGATGTCGTAGCCGGAGATGCTGAAGGGGGCTGGAGTTAGAGGCTGGCC